>NC_000006.12:4150909-4302424 GCF_000001405.40 Homo sapiens
TTTCAATTTTTTGAATGTTTTAAAACTTGTTTTGTGACCTAACATATGGTCTATCCTTGAAAATGATCTATGTGCTGAGAAAAAGAATGTATATTCTGCAGCTGTTTGATAAAATGTTTTGTAAATATCTATTAGATCCATTTGGTCTATAGTGCAGATGAAGTTTGATGTTTTTCTTTTTCTTTTCTTTCTTCCTTTTTTTTTTTTTTTTTAAGATGGCGTTTCACTCTTGTTGCCCAGGCTGGAGTGCAATGGCATGATCTTGGCTCATTGCAACCTCCGCCTCATGGGTTCAAGCGATTCTCCTGCCTCAGCCTCCCAAGTAGCTGAGATTACAGGTGCCCACCACCATGCTAGAGAAATAGTTGAAAACTGTATGGTAGTAAAAGACATTAACTTATGTATTGCAGTCTATGTCAGATCGTGTAGATTAGACAAAAAATTAGTTCCTTTGCAGACCTCTCCCTAAAGCCATCACAATGCCAACTCCCCAGAGCCAACCATTTTCAACACTTTCAGTTATTTTTAAATGATAAAAATTCAAATGCAGTGATTCTAGAAGTATGGTCCAGTGGTTTCTGGAAGTCTCCAAAATCTTTTAGTTAGGATTCCTTAAAGGGAGATCAAAGTTGAGGTAAAAACTAGATACTGTTTAGACCATTTACATTTAATGTAATTATATGTTTGAATTTAGGTCTTCCATTTTATTATTTGTGTTTTCTTCCTGTCTGTCTTCTCTTTCCTGCCTTTTGTATTATTTGAACTTTCTTTTTTTTTTTTTTTTTTTTTAGCATTCCATCTGAATTTATTTTGATTTTAACCATATCTTTTCATATAAAATTTTAGTGGTTGCTCTAGGGATTTAAAAAAATACAAACTTAACACTTTAATGGCAATTTATAATCAGCATTTTACCACTTTAATTGGAATGTGTAAAACTTACCAGTAGGTTTCCTTTCTCGTTTATGTATTACATCTGCACACATTGAAAACTCCATCAGACAATGTTATACCCTGTGCTTTCAAACATCAGATATGTTTTAAAGTACTCAAAAAGAGAAGAACAGTCTATTATATTTACCCAGATACTTGCCATTTCTGTTGTTCCCTTTTATTACTGAAGTTCTGAGATTTCTTCTTGGATCATTTCCTTTCAGCCTGAAGAACTTGTTTAGCAAATCTCTTAAGTAGGTACACTGGTCAGAATTCTCTTAGTTTTCCTTCATCTAAGAATGTATTTATTTCACAGAATTCTCAGTTTATAGTTCCTTCCCTCCTTCCTTCCTTCCTTCTCTCCTTTAAAATGTTGTTCTACTTCCTTCTGGTCTCCGCAGTTTCTGATGAAAAATCTATAGTTATTCAAATTGAAAATCCTCTATTGACAATGCACTGTTTTTCTGTGGCTGCTTTAAAACTTTTTTCATTCTTTTTATTTTTCAACAATTTCATTGTGATGCATCTATGCATAATTTTATTTGTATTTATCCTTTTAAAAGTTCACTCAGCTTTTTAAATCTGTAGGTTATATCCTTTGCCAAACTTGGGAAGTCTTCGGCCATTGTTTTTTCAGACTTTTTTTCAGCACTGCACTCTTTCTCTTGTCCTCTAAAACTCCAGAGACACAAACATTAGAACTTTTATTATTGTCTTATATGTACCTGAAGCTCTACTAGATTTTTTTCAACCTTTTTTCCCTCTTTTTTTGATGTATCTTCAAGTTCACTGTTTCCTCTGTCACATCCTTTGTGGTACTGAACCCAGCTAATGTGTTTGTTTTTTTTTAATATTGGTTATTGTGCTTTCAACTCTAAAATTTCTGATTTTTGTCCTGTATATCTTCTATTTCTTTAATGATACCTTGTATTTTTGCTTTTTCTTCAAGAGTGTTCAAGATTGCTCATACAAGCATTTTAAAAGCTTTGTCAGATACTTCCAACATTGGTGTCATCATGGCACTGGCATCTGTTGATTGACTTTTCCCATACATGTTGAGGTTTTCATGGTTCTTTATATGCTGAATACTATTTGAGTGTACCCTGAACATTTTGATTATTATATATAAGACTTCAGGTCTTGTTTAAATCCTATGGAAGATGTTGACATTTTTGTTTTGGCGGGCACTTGACCTGGTTAAGTTCAGGCCTCACATTTCAACCCACCTTCTCTGAGCTGCAATTCCAATGTTAGTTCAATTTTCAAAGCCTTTCAATGCTACTCAGATCATTCCCAATTGGGTGCCCCCCGTGAGTGCTCCTTACCTAAAAGGTCAGACTGGAACCTGGGGAGACCTGTCTCTTAAGCTCAGTCCTCAAGGTCTTTTGAATGCCAATTAGGATCAGATTTAGACATGCTCAGGCCAGGGGTTAGCCAGGAGTTCATAAACCTCTTTATGGAGTTCCTTTCCCAGACACTCTTATTTTATTTATTTATTTATTTATTTATTTATTTTTACTTCTCTGGGGATAATGCTGTATGCTTTCCCAAACTCTTCTCTCTCTGCTCTCTCCTTAGCACCTCTGGTTCCCTGAGGCTTTATTTTATGGTTGTCCAGCCAGTAACTACCCACTTCTGTGACTGCCTTACAGCAGTGCTGGGAGAGAGAGGGTGAGAGAGAGAGAGAGGAAGACAGAGAGGCAACAGTGTTTGTGGCACCTTCTTGGAGCTGCGGTTCTTCTGAACTGAGAGCAAGGTTTCTCTCCCTCAGAGCTGTAGCTCCTGCAGATTCCTGTTGCTGGCCTCTTTTGCTGCTGCACCGAGCCTGCTGTGGGCTTGCCTGAGGGTTGGGGCACCAGAGAGTGGAGAAGAAGGAGAGAAAAAAAATACTGAGGGATTTCCCACACACTCTCTTTCCCTTAAAAGACTAGAGCTACTACCATGCCATAATTAGCTAAAACTTCCACTTTCTGGAAGAACTGTCATTTTCTTACAGCTATTCACTTTCTTTCAACGTTCGTCACCAACATAAACACTAGACTCTCTTTGGGTGCTGTTTTCATTAAAGAAGTGAAACTTTTATCACTTCATGATGGTCGCTGAGTATGCTAAGGGAAGCAGAGAAAAACAGGGCTGCGTCTCCCTGTGGAGACTGGAGGTGGGCAGGCCCATCGATTGGCCAAGCGGCTCAGCGTAGCATCTGCTACTAAAATCGGGCCCCAGAAAAGTTACCCATTGTGCCATAATCATGTAGGCCTCTGGAAATCCTTGAGGAAACTCCAAATAGTGAATGTTAAATTAAAAAATGACAAAGTTCCATTTGATTGTTATCATTCTTGAGAGGTAATTTCACTATGATCTGTCAGGAAACATCTGTAAGAGATTCAGCCATAATGTGTTAAGGAGAAGGTTAGAAAATCTAGGGAAAAGCTCCTATCATTTTATAGTTTCTTTGGGGATTGAAATATATCTACTGAAGCAGGCTTCAAACTAGTGTGTCTAGAAATGGGATATCTTCACCTGGGATGGGGTAGTTGCCCTTGAGCCACATGACCCAGGCATAATTACAGATTTTCAGGAGTGGAAGAGACTTGAGATGCTATCTGACCAAACCTTCTGTTTTTACAGACGAAGAAACTAAAGCCAACATGTGAAGTAAGAACCTGTCAAGGGTCATATTAGGTCACATCAGGTCATATCCTAACATGTGTTGGCATCCTTTCCCCCTGTGCTGTCTGATATGCCTGGGAGACGCCCTCCGTCCTGCTTCCCACTAGGGCTACACTGGTATGTGAGTCCTTTGGGGGCAAAATCACCCATTTTGGGAATTTTGGAAGCAGAACAAAAGTGGCAGTGTTCTGATGGTTCTAGTTAAAGATGGAGAGGGATGTGGGTCTATTGCAGACATAAAGAACTCTCTTCTGAATGGGAGGGGCAGCCCAAGACCCTGGAATTACAATGTGATGGGACAGTTCAAGTCAAGTCTTTGTTTTGGCAGGTCAAACGGTGTAAACTTTGCTGGAAGGAACCTTACTCAGAGGGCCAATCACCTGCTTCTCTAGAGTTCTCAAGCTCTCCTGTGAGCACCAGGTTGAGCTGCAGAAAGCCAGAACCAGCTCAGAAACTGAGAAATGGACATGAAGATGCCCAGGTCTGCAGATGGTTTCCATTCTGAAAAGTGATAGTCCCAAGGGGGACTGGCATGCAGTCATTCATTCAACAATTGTGCTCCTACTCTGTGAAGTATTGGGGATACAGTGCTGAGCACAGACAGACCTAGTCTCTGTCCTTTGCACCTTTCAGTGAAGGATAGGAGGTAGACATTGATGCAACAAGCACCCGAGTAAATGTAAGACCATGCAGTGATAAAGGCCGTGGAGGAAGGGCCCATGCAGGGGCAGAAAACAGAGGAAGGGGCTGGTGGAGCAGCTCCTCTAGCTCAAGGCTGAGTGGTATAAACTGTAGCTACTGCATGATCTGAACGTGTCTTAAGGAGGGTATCCCCAAAGCGGGCTCATTGGGAGTTACTGTGGAGCGCTAGTTTATTGTAATTGCCATATGTTTATAAGTAATGGAATCCTAGAATTAGAAGGAACTTCGGTCACCTTTTAATTTAATATTTATCTTTCTCAATCCAGGAAACATCTCTACAGCATCCCTAACTGGGGGTTGATCCATTCATTTCCAGACACAGAGAACAGAGTCACATTCTGCTGTTTCCATATGTACCATTTTAGTAAGACTTCTTGGGGCACAAGGCAGGAAGTTGGGGACAATATATTTGTCTGCACCAAGGCAGCCTGAGAAGAGAGAAGTGAATACTCCTGGGGTTATTCTATATTATTCACTTAATATTCTAAGTGAGTCCTCTAGGGGTACCTGAGACATGGAGTATGAAAGTACACATTCACAAAAGTACCAGCTTTAAAACTAGATTATCTCTACTATTCAAAAACACCAAGGAAAGGCCACACAATGGAGACAAAGTGCATCTGAGATCTAGCAAATTTCCCTGTTGGCCACATACTGATAATGATGTATTAAAATCAATTCTATACTGTGGGGTACTTATTTGACATTAATAGGTACCATGGTGGTTTAACATAGTTGCTGCCCAGAGAAAACGCCGCACACTCACCTACACTAAAATGAAGTCTGAGTCAGCTGCCTCCCCTCCGCCATCCCTTCCAAAGCCAATGGTTGAAAGTCACAGAAGTCCCTCTGCTGCCACCTAGTGACGACAATGTGAATACAACTACACAGCCTCCTGGGAAAGAAGTTTTGAACCACGTTTGCTTCTAAAGGAAGCCTGTAATTACCTCTGAGTGCTCTATTTTGGCTACAATTTAAAAACATATATATTTTAAAACTCTATAAACTCTTATGCATATCCCTTTTTAAGAATCTGACCTGTAATGGATGTAGCCTCACTTTCAAGAACCTAAAAGCTATGCCCCCAATTCAGGGAGTAGAACAGACAGGCTTAAGAACAGTGCCTAAAAATGCCACTAAATTTATCTTTAAAATGCCTGTGGTTCCTTAGCACTTGAATTCCGTTATGCCCCTGGGTATAGTCACCTGGATGTTAGGGGCTGTCAAAATTCAGCCCTCAGTTGGTGATCAGTAGGTTTTCCCTTTAAGTGGTTTCTGAAAGGATTTTTTTTAAAAATCTTGAAATTCTCATGTCTGGATGATGTTTCCAGTTTTGTGGAAGAATAAAAGAAAAGGGACATGAAATTCTGGCTCCCTGGGGGCAGTGGCTGTGTCTTATTAATCTCTGTGCCCATTGTACCAACACCGGTCAGTCACAGCATGTACTCAACCAATGCTGATGAATGCAGAGGGGCGAGGGGCTGGCACGCTCTTGACCCCTTATAGGGGCTGCGTCGATGGCCAGGGTTCAATGGGAACTTTCTGGTACAGTCTTGCTCTGCCAATCTTTCAAATTAAGTGCAGCACAATTGGAAGCCTCACATTCTCATAGACGGGTTGAGGAGGGCATTAGGGGCAGAAAGGCTCACATAAGGCCTGAGCGTGAGGTTTCCTGCCCAGCACTGCTGTGCCATTGCAGCCCACCTTCTTCTCACCTTTCCTTCCACACCACGGCGCGGCAGGTGCAGAAACCGTGCTGGGATTGAGGCCCTAGAGGCTGACTACAGGTCTTGGGGGCAAAACATCTGGACACACAGCTGAAGATGAGCCAAGTATATTAGTCAGGGTTCTCTAGAGAAACAGAACCAACAAGATAGAGAGATGCAGAGAGACAGAGGGACAGACAGACAGATTTAAGTAACTGACCCATAAAATCTTGGAGGCTTGGCAAGTCCAAAATCTGCAAGATGGAAGTGGGCTGGCACATTGGAGACTCAAGGAAGAGTTGCACGTTGAGTTCAAAGGCCGGCTGCTGGCAGAATTCCTTTCTGCTCAGGTGAAGTCGGTCTCTGTTCTATTAAGACCTTCAACTGATTGGATGAGGTCCACCCATATTATGAAGGGTCATTTGCTTTACTCAACATCTACTCATCTAAATATTAATCTCATTGAAAAAAAACCCCAGAAACATCCAGAATAGCATTTGACCAAATGTTTGGACAATGCAGCCTAGCCACATTAACACACAAAATTAACTGTCACAGCAAGACACCAGGGAAGCATTGGAAGATGTTAGCGGCTGTCATTGAAATGGGTGCCGTCAGGTGGACGGCAGCCATCCATCGGGCAAGAGCGGGGCAGCTGGAAGGGCCCTCCCCTCCCGTTTGCTTTCTGCTCTTCACAGCTCACGGATAGAGGAATTTTCTCAGCACATTTCCCAGGAGGAGTTTGGCACCACCATTTCTTGAAAACAGATGTCTGCAGGGATGTGTGTGTGCCTGTGAATATGAAGTCCAGAGCCTGGGACTGAGAACAGCAAGGGGAACAGGTGGCCACAGGGGAGTTGCCAGATTGCTGACTTAAGATGTGCTCCCAGGGCTGCACTGGTGTCGGTCGTGAGAGCGATCACGGTTTGTGCAACGTCTGAACTTTCTATCAACTTATGGTTTAATCAATTTGCTGTTTACTCCAGCTATTTGCAACCTCTCCTCAGTTACTTGGTGTTCAGCAGTGTAATATATCTTCATGTGTGAATATAAATATACTATTTAGTGGAAACTAAAAGGAATTGTGGAGGAAGAATTTTTTTGGATAATTTTATGTTTTCATAATGTAAAAATTAAAGATATTTGAAGAGTTGAGTATGTCAGTTTTGGGGATGCAAGAGAATGACTTCGGGACTACCATAATATTTAAAATCATCACTACTCTTTCTTTCCACCTAAGTCTCATAGCAAAAGAGGAAATTTACTTCAGTCTCTTTCTGTAGCAGAACATTATCGTGCTGTATTCCTGTGTTCACTTATCTGCGCTGGATTGTGAGTCCTTACAGAGAGAAATTGTTATGTGCTATGTTCCCAACACCTGCACATTATAGGTGGTCACTAAGTGCTTGATGAATAAATGAATGAGGGAATAATATTGTTTATTATTTTTTGCTGTTATTTATAATTGGGAGTGGGTAGGATTTGGATTATGAAGACTCTGGGAAGCCTCATAAGAACCTCAGACTCACTGGGCACGGTGGCTCACACCTGTAATCCCAGCACTTTGGGAGGCCGAGGCAGGCGGATCACGAGGTCGGGAGATCGAGACCATCCTGGCTAACACGGTGAAACCCGGTCTCCACTAAAAATACAAAAAACTAGCCAGGTGTGGTGGCGGGCGCCTGTAGTCCCAGCTACTCCAGAGGCTGAGGCAGGAGAATGGCCGTGAACCCAGGAGGCGGAGGTTGCAATGAGCCGAGATCGCACCACTGCACTCCAGCCTGGGCGACAGAGCAAGACTCCATCTCAAAAAGAAAAACCTCAGACCAGACTCAACGTGTCCAAAAAAGAGCTCACCTTGTACCCCTAGATCCTGAAGCGGCTTCCAGTAGCTCAACCTCCTCCCATCCAGTTCCATCTCTGCCAGGGATCTTTTAAAAATGCAAATCTCATTATGTCTCTTTCCTGCCTCAAACCTCCCAGTGGTTCTCCAGTCTGTCAGGAGAGGGTATAGACTGTGGCCTGGCCCGGGAAGTTCTTTGAGGTCAACCCCTGCCTACTCATCTTGCTAACTCTTATGGCTCTCTGACACTAGGCTTTTGCTCCAATCATATAAGCAACTGTATTTCCATAAAATTGCAATGTTCTTCCCTACCTCCTCACTTAACTAATTTTCACTTTACTGATCATTTCTTATTTTACTATCAGCGTCTCTTTCTCCTTATTCTTCAGGGAACATTTCTCTCCACCATCCTGTGCCACACTGTGGGGGTGTCAGTAACACCCTCTGTCCTCTCCTGGCCAAAGGAAAGGGGTGTCATTCAGCCCAGGCCCCTGGATCCTCATCTTGGGATTTGGAAATGTGACCGAAGTGACATAAAAAAAAGACATGAAGTGCGAGGAGCTCATTCAGTCAGCTCTGCAGCTCCAGCTGGGTTACCTGTGAGTCCTTGCTAGCCAGATCCCTTGATTTGCCGTGACTCCTGCCTTTGCCAAGTCTGTCTTCATAGATTCTTTCAAATGTGGTTCCATCTTGCCTGAGTTCGTCAGAGCCAGATTCTGTGCTGTAATAAAAAACCCCAAATCAACTCACCTCTCACCCTCCACAATGCAGCTTCTGGAAGA
Source organism: Homo sapiens (assembly GCF_000001405.40). NCBI lineage: Eukaryota > Metazoa > Chordata > Mammalia > Primates > Hominidae > Homo > Homo sapiens. The sequence goes on from NC_000006.12 coordinate 4,159,546, forward strand.
TTCCAGATGCCCCAGCCTGACTGAGAATTCTCTCTCCTCTGCTCTCAAAGTCCCTTTGGGTGCTTCTACCAAAGCACTGACAGCGTGATTCTGATTTGATCGCTGGTGTCTGAGAGCTGTGAACGTCTTGATGGTTTTGGCGCCCAGCACCATTCCTGCCTCATAATTGGCACGTGATAAAGGCTTGTCGCATTCCCTCATTCAAAATAAACATAGAAGACAATCCAGAGATTGCAGCTTCACAGAAATCACAGAAGGAAATTTATATTTATAGAGACGGCATATAAAATTTTAAAACAATTTTAATGAAAATCTTGAAAATAGACATTCTCTTCTTTAAACAACATAAACTGAACAAACTCAGTCTGTTTTGGTGCCTCTGTGAGTACCCTCGGTTGCTCTGGGCTGCTGTGCGATGCTGACCGGGACTTCCTCAGAGGCCTCATCTTCTGCATCCAGTGGACTTGCAAGCCACTTTACACTTCCTGGGTGATAAGGTTTGGATTTGTGTCCCCGCCCAAATCTCACGTGGAATGTCATTCCTAATGTTGGAAGAGGGGCCTGGTGGGAGGTGATTGGATCATGGGGGCAGAATTCCCTCTTGCAGTTCTCTTGGTAGTGAGTTCTCACAAGATCTGGTTGTTTAAAAGTATGTAGCACCTCCTGCTTTCGCTGTCTTCCTCCTGCTCCCGCCATGTAAGACGTGGCCTCCTTTCCCTTCGCCTTCCGCCATGATTGAAAGTCTTCAGAGGCCTCCCCAGCCATGCTTCATGTACAGCCTGTGGAACTGTGAGCCAATTAAACCTCTTTTCTTCATAAATCACCCAGGCTCGGGTATGTCTTTACAGCAATGTGAGAACGGACTCATACTGTGGGTCTGTAGCCTCTTTCCATGGTATTATCTCATATTTTTCAATGTTTCTTTGATGCATGTTTTAAGAAATGTTAATTGAAAGCATGTCATGGGACAGGCACTGGATTACGTCTTAGAAATGCCAAGATGCACAGCCACAGTTGCTTTCTCCAGGACGGCACAGGTGAGGAGGGGGATCAAAAATAAAGGCTAGAGATAGGTGCCTGTGCTGGGTGCTTGGGGCATATAGGTAGGGTACCTGATCCACTGGGGTCAGAGAAAGTTTTCTGGAGGTGTTACCTGAGAAGAGCCTTGGGGGAAATGGGCATTATCCAGGTGAAGAAGGATTTTCTGAAGGTTCTGGACAGCTGTGTTACGAGACACCCAGCTTCTCTGCTTCTCCTGGGAACACGCGTTGTGCTTCTACTCCATGGCGCTCCTGGGAGCTGCCGCATCCATGGCATGCTCTCCCCTGCCCCCACAGCTAACTGGTGTTATGGGTGGGCTAAGTGGCCAAAAGTGAGCGTTCAGGTTGGCACACTGCCACACTGAGCCTGGAGAATCTTCCCCCAGAATGCTTTGAATTATTAGTCAAACAGAGAGTTTCTTTCTGGCAGTAAGAGCAATAAAATGTGAGATTCACGAGTTGGCCTTCATGTTTCTCGCCTTTGGAGAAAGCTGTCCCACAGAGAGGGAGAGTGCAGGCCTCTGAAGAGAGTCACAGATAGAGATGAGGAGTCCTGGGGGGATCTAGACCCTGACTCCAGTTATCCCTGAGACCCAAACACATCCCCATTTTTCTCACAACTTGCCAGTCTACCCTTCCCTGGATCCCACAATGCATTCTAATACCTTCCAATAATTTTTTTTTCTTTTTTGAGAGAAAGTCTCATCCTGTTGCCCAGGCTGGAGTACAGTGGCGCAATCTTGGCTCACTGCAACCTCCACCTGCTAGGTTGAAATGTTTCTTGTGCCTTAGCCTCCCGAGTAGTTGGGATTACAGGCATGCGCCACCACACCTGGCTAATTTTTGTAATTTTAGTAGAGACGGGGTTTCATCAGGTTGTCCAGGCACATCTCAAACTCCTGGCACCAGTCTCCCAAAGTGCTGGGATTACAGGTGTGAGCTACCACACCCGGCAAACTCATAATTATTTAATAAAGAATTTATAGTAAATAACTAAATTCCTAAGAAATAGCTTAAGCTATTCTTTGTGGGGTTTCTGTCATCCATAACCAAAAAAAATTTAGATAAATGTAGTGTCCTCATCTCTGGGGCATCAATTGCCACGAGTCAGTAAGTGCTGGAGGACAAGCTCCCTTGCTTAGAAAACTAGGCTGCATTACAGAGGAATTGTTTTAAGGAACAATGCTTGAGGTTTCTAAGCAGATGAATTTAGAAATCTGAACTATGAGAGCATATTGAGAATATTAAGAATATTGGAGGCAGTAATCATGCAGGCTAGATCACTTAAAGACCACCAGAGGATGGGCTATTAGATGCTGGGTCAGACGCCTGTGCCTTTCCTTCAGTCCACGCACTGGCCACCCAGTAGGAACCTCCTTCTCTGCCCTTCCACCTTCTTGAGCCCTGTCACCTCTGTTCTCAGCCTGCCCTTGGCCTTGGATTAGTACGTCGGCCTCCTTCAGATCAGAGCTGTCTGCTATTAACTCAGTTCTTAGCGTCGACCTATTTCCTGGCATAGCCGTTAATGACCTGCTTACACTTTTCCTAGTACAGCCATCCCTTGGTATCCATTGGGGATTGGTTCCAGGACCACCTCATAGATACCAAAATCTGTGGATGCTCAAGTCTCTGATAAAAAATGGCATAGTATTTGCATATAACCCATGTAATTCTCCCACGTATTTAAAATCCTTTCTAGCTTATTTGTAATACTGAATACAATCCCTACACATTACTTCATTCATGTGGATTCAATGGAGTACTCGGCATGCAGCAAATTCAAGTTTTGCTTTTTGGTACTTTGTGAAAACATTTTTTTTCTGCATATTTTCTAACTGTGTTTGGTTGAATCTATGGTTGTGGAACCTACAGAGAGCCAACTGTATATGACTACTCTCTGAAGTGTGTTTTACCTTTTTGTGTCCAAGCTGAAAACTTGAAGGGCCCCCTGAGCCACAAGAGGGCTCAATCAAGCGAAGGAGTTACTCAAAGACCAGCCAGATGGCACTCATTGGCTGGAAAGCCTGTAATGATTTAAAGGAATTCTTCTTGGCTTTTAGGATTTAAAAAAATTCTTCTTGACTTTTAGTATTTGAAGGAATTCTTGACTTTTAGGACAGCAGAGGCCCACCAGGCCCTGGGCAGAAGGAATGATAATAAAACTTCTGAAAAGTGAAATGCAAAAATAGCTGAAAGGAGAAACATTTCAGGTTCCCAACTGTGGGTAAGTATAAGGCAAGGGATGGGGGTGTCTAGGTGGCTGCTGGCGACAAACCCTAGTGGGATTGTCATCCAAGTCCTTGATTGTCCCAAGATGGGCATGGTCTGGGAAAAATGAGGCTTAGATTAGTCAATGTTTTGATATTTTTTCCCCGGGCATCCCGGAAAGAGCACCTACTCTCAAAGCTAGAGCTCAGCCCCGAGTCCTAGTTAGTGACAAAGTTCAACAAAGGCAGCGGTCCCAGTCCTGATGGTGGGAATGACGCCCTGTCTAATTTCAATACCAATATCAATGCTAGTTGTCCTTGAACTTTGCCGTCCCGCTCCAAGCCTCTCAGGGACACTACCAGGGTCAGGGAAACAGCAGGTCTTCAAGACACTCATCTCAAAGTGCCAGGCCGACAGGTTTTCAGCGGTGACATTCACCCAGATGGAAGCATGTGGCCATTGACACCCCTGTTCCTTTTCAGTCTGTTGTAGGAAAACATTAAAAGGTTCCTTACTGCTTGGAAAGGTTTTCTGGAAAAGCACCTTAATGGATAAAATGAGGAATAACAGAGATAACTGACCCAGCAACTTGCCCTCTATTTTCCTCAACACTTTTAAGTTTCGGGCAGTCTTATCTGATTCCAGTACACGGCCAAGTTCATTCTTTTCCTGCTGTAAGAAATTTGGAGGCGAGAGCAGAGACAAGTTATTTTTGATGACATGCCTTTTAAATATAGAGTCAGCTCTCCCTTTTCTGAGGTGGGAGGAGCCCAGGCTGGACTCTTCTCGGGCTAGAGCGCAAATGCAGGCTTTGTGCTCATTCACCCCTTGGTTGTCAGCAGCCTTGACCTCCAACCCAGAAACCAGGGGCCTGCTACAGGAAAGCAGGGAGGTCTCCTCCTGGGTGATGGCCCTCAGCAGCACTGAGCAGCAAGGCTGGAAGACAGCAGCTGGAGGGAAACAGAGGCAGCTGAAACAGCCTGGGTGTCTCTCAAATGGAATCAATCCTGGAATTAATGAAACGCTGGTGCTAGAATAGGTTATAAAAAGCTGAATAATGCTGAAAGGCTGAATAATGAATGATCACCATGAAAAAAGGCAGTAAAACAGATTCCAAAAGTCTCCGCAGAAGCCTTAAAGGAGCTGGGACAGACAGTGTGAGCTCATCCTCACCAAGGGTCTGCAGCCTGCATCGCGTTGAAAGAAAATCGGTCTCCATTAGCACTGGCTGCAGGAAGCCTGATAGTTCTATACTGGTGAAATCTAGACATGATGGCTCCAAGTGACAAAATCCCTTCTAATTTCCAAGGGAAAGGGACAGTTCCAAGCAGGCCGCGAGAAAATCTATAGAACATGTTTCCAGTACAGATAAGGGCATCTTTCAACATTATTACTTAAATTATAGACAGGCTTATCTCTTGCAATATTGAGACTGGAGTGTAGAGGGTGCAGGTGCATAAAAGGCCAGAGGCAGCTGGAGAAGCTGCCTTCATTGCAGTGGATAACCCTATGTGTCCTGGGTTTATCTATCAAGAATAGCAGGTGACTGCCTGCATCTCTGCAGGTTAGAGTGCAATCGGAGGCTTTGTGCCTGCTCACCCTCGGTTATGAGCAGCCTGGACCTCCAACCCAGAAACCAGTGGGGCTGCTACAAATGACATCAGAGGCATTCGGGAGACACTGCTCCTGGGCAAGAGGCTGAGACAGCAACAGTGGGGACCCAGGGTCCCCAAATCCTTGGACCAGAAGCCAACTCAATCCACAGGCCTTTAGCAGAGTTATCCAGGGAGAATGAATGAGTGGATGCCCAAGGCCAAATCTCTGTTTATTACTTTGTGGCTTTGGCACCAACCGTGTGAGTAGCCTCTGGCCTTGGCCTGCTGAGTCCCAATCGGTAATTGTGAGTCCCAGTCAACAACTCAGCAAATCGGCTTTTAATGACTCAGTCCTTTGGTGAATTTGGTCATTTGGTAAATTGGTTTTTGAAGCATTGATTTTTGGAGGAATGAGCAGGAACCCTCCGGGGCCTGTCTCACAGTCTAGTGAACGCAGTTTAGGTAGGAAAGGGTAGATGGACAGAGCAGCGCTGCTCAGCCTCTGTGAGCCGCCATTGAAAAGTGCTGTGTGGCAGGTGGGCAGAATTTTCCCGAGGCCTGTGTGCCCTGCCATCTTCCACCCCCGAGGGAGGGCTGGGCTGCTGCACAAGTCAATGGGCAAAATCTGCAGGTGAGAAGACGGCCTCTGGGAAATGACACCATGAGGGTGTTGGGGACAAGAAGAAAAGGGACTGTTTTGAATGGCCACTGGGAGTGGGAGGGTTCAGACAGAGCATGCTGTGTCTCCACTGCTGTGGTGGGTGTGTGGCGAGTCACCTGTGGCCCTGCTCAACATCCACGCATTTGCTGTCCTTTGCTTGCCAAGACCATCATTATCTGAGACAATCTGGCTGCCCAAGCCTTCCCTAAGGGAAAAGGCTCCTCTGGTCGGATGGGCCCTGCCAGGCTTGCCTGGGCTCCCTTCTTGCTGTCTGTGTGGGCTCCCACTAGCTGGCCTCAGTATTGATTCTGCTGCTCCACCTGTCATCACTGCCATTTATTCATACACGGATGTTTGCCACTGGATCACCTCTTCACATACCAGTTCTCTTCTATTTGTTCTGGGGTTTGTTGCTGTCATTTTCTTTGCAAAGAGATGTTTTCTATTCCCCAAAGCTTACATTTCCCCCACTCATTCCTCCTCTCATCCAGTAAAGTTCAGACACTTCCAGTTAAAAGATTCTCCCACTTATACAGCTGATGAATTGATGACAGGGGCAGGAGGATGGCTTTCTCTGTTCCTCTTCCTTCTCCTTTGTAAAATGATGGCAGTAGATTCATATAATCTTTACATTCCTGTTTTTTTTATAGACATCCCTGGGTATCCAGAGGGGATTGGTCCCAGGACCTTCAGGATAGCAGTATCTGCTGATGCTCGAGTCCCTGATATAAAATGATGTTGCATGTGCGGATAACCTGTGTCCATCCTCTCTTATCTTGCATTCACCTCTAGATTACCTATAATACTTAATACAATGTAAATGCTATGGAAGTATTGTTTTCTATTTGCTTTTTTTTTGAGACTGAGCCTTGCTTTTTTGCCCAGTCTGGAGTGCAATGGCGCGATTTTGGCTCACTGCAACCTCTGCCTCCCGGGTTCAAGTGATTCTCCTGCCCTAGCCTCCCGAGTAGCTGGGAATGCAGGCACCTGCCACCACGCCTGGCTAATTTTTGTATTTTCAGTAGTGATAGAGTTTCAGCATTTTGGCAAGGCTAGTCTCGAACTCCTGACCTCATGTGATCTGCCCGCCTCAGCCTCTCAAATTGCTGGGATTACAGGCGTGGGCCACCACACCCAGCCTGCATCATTTTTTAGTGTTGTATTATTTTTATTCTTTGAATATTTTTGATCTGAGGTTGGTGGAACCTGCAGATGCACAACCTGCGGATGCACAACCCAAGGATAGGGAGAGTCAACTGTACCTTTGTTTTTAAGCAGCTTCATGGAAGTACAATGGACTGTTTCAACCAAACTACCTTGGATGAGGTATGATGCCAGACACAGATTATGGGAAAGGAAACAGAAAGTGTTACAGGTCTGTATGAGTACAGGAGGGCTGCCTGAGGGAAGCACTGGGGTGGGTCAGAAGGCAGAGGGAGGGGGGCTGTGAGCAAGCACCCTTATTGTGGTTTCTGCAGGAAGCAACAGGCGAGGCAGGGCTGGCACGCTTAGGATTGACCAGTTGGAATAATTTCAGGGCTCTGTGGCATATGGGCTGTCCTTGGTTGTCTGGTACTTAGCCTTGGGTTAATTAGGGAAGAGGAATAGTGGCCTGGAGTGTGAGATCCCATTAAGGGAGTTGGTTGGGGTGTGGAATTAAATTAGCTGCTCAAGAAAGGGAAATGACAGGCCTCTAGCTAGGGCCTAAAAACTGGATCAAGGGCCAGGTGCGGTGGCTCACGCCTGTAATTCCAGCACTTTGGGAGGCCGAGGCAGGCAGATCACGAGGTCAAGACATTGAGACCATCCTGGACAACTTGGTGAAACCCCGTCTCTCCTAAAAATACAAAAATTAGCTCGACGTGGTGGCACATGCCTGTAGTCCCAGGTATTTGGGAGGCTGAGGCAGGAGAATTGCTTGAACCTGGGAGGCGGAGGTTGCGGTGAGCCGAGATCGCGCCACTGCACTCCAGCCTGGCGCTGTCTCAAGAAAACAAAAAACAAAAAACAAAACAAAACAAAAAAACCCCCCAAAACTGGATCAAGACAGCATTTTAAAAGACTGAATGACATTGACATACAATAAACTACATATTTAAATTGTACAATTCAGTGATGTTTATATCTGTAAATACCTGTGAAACCATCACCACAACCAAGATAATGAACACATCCATTACCCCCAAAGGTTTCCTCATTCCTCCTGGAAATCTTCCCTCCCCACGCAACTACTGGTCAGCTTTCTATCACTTTAGATGAGTTGGCATTTTCTAATTTTTTTTTTTTTTTTTTTTTTGAGACAGAATCTCACTGTGTCACCCGGCTTGAGTGCAGTGGCGCAATCTCGGCTCACGGCAGCCTCAACCTTCCAGGTTCAAGTGATTCTCATGCCTCAGCTGCCTGAGTAGCTGGGACTACAAGTGTGTTCCACCATGTCCGGCTAATTTTTGTATTTTAGTAGAGATGGGGTTTTACCATTTTGGCTAGACTGGTCTCGAACTCCTGTCCTCAAGTGACCCTCCAGTCTCCGCCTTCAAAAATGCTGGGATTACAGGCATGAGCCACCGTGCCTGGCCTCTGAAATTTTATGTAAGTGAAATAATACAGCATGTAGCCTCTTTTGTTTGGCTTCTTTCACTCAGCATTATGATTTTGAGATTCCATCATATTTTTACATGTATCAATAATTTATTTCTTTTTATTGTTGAGTAATATTCATTTATGGATACTATACTGCTGTGTGTTTATCCATCCATCTGTTGAACATTTGGGTTGTTTTCAGTTTTGGCTGTTATTACAAATAAAGTTGCTATGAACATTCATGTACACTTGTGCATGGGTTGAATGGCTGGGTTATATGGTATGTGTATCCTTCATCTTTTAAGAAAAAACTGTCTTTCAAAGTGGTCGTACCATTTTACATTCTCACCAACAGTGTATAAGAACTTTAGTTGCCCATGTCTTTGCCAGCACTTAGTATGGTTAGTCTTTTATCCATTCTAGTGGGAGTAAAGTGGCATCTTATTGTAGTTTTAATATGCACTTGCCTAATGACTTTGGATAATGATCATGTTTTTAATGTGTTTATTTGCCATCAGTCAATCTACTTTGTTGAGGTGTATGTTCAAATTTTTTGGGTATTTTTTTCTTATTGATTTACTTGAATTCTTATTGAATTGTAAGGGCTCTTTATATAATCTAGATACAAGTCTTTTGATGCATACATTTTGTAAATATTTTCTCACAATCTATGTCTTACTTTTTTACTTTTATATTCATATCCTTTAGAAGGGCAAACATTTTAGCTTTGATGACATCAAACTTGTTTTCTGTTTCATACTTTGTGCTTGTTGTTTCATATTTAAGAAACGTTTGCCAAAACCAAGGTCAGTAAGATTTTCTCTTCTGTTTTCTTCTAGAAATTTTATAGTTTTAACTCTGACATTTAGGTGTACAAATGGGTCCATGCTCCATTTCCAGTTAATTTTTGCATACGGTATCAGGTAAAGGTTGATTCTTTTGCATATGACTATCTCATTGTTCTAGCACCATTTGTTGAAAAGACTATTCTTTCCCCATTGAATTTCCTTGATACTATTGTCAAAGTCAACTCACCATATATGTCTTAATCTATTTCTGAGATCCTCTGTTCTAGTCATGAGTTTGTCTGTCTTTCTATAAAAACTACAATGTCTTGATTATTGCATATTTATAATAAGGCTTTAAATTCAGTAGAGTGAGTCCTCTAACTTTGTTCTTTCTTGATAAAATTGTTTTGACTGTTCTACATCATAATCCTTTGATCCATGCCAATAGCACATTGTTTTAATGACTGTGGGATTGCAGTATTTTTTAATGTTTATTAGGGCTAATCTCATCAGGATGTGCTGTTAACCACTCTGAATAAGGGGCTGATCCTGAGTGGGCAGAGCTGTCTCCCAACCCCATTTCCGCCTCTTACCCACTCAACTCATGCATTGCCTGGATTCGCCTGTCCCCAGATGGGGTCTGGAGAAGCAGCCCTTAAGGCAGAGCAGAGTGTGTAGGAGGGGCAAGGAAAGAAACAGCCTGCTCTTTTCTCATGGGGAGTTTTGGACTGGAAGGTGCCTGCTGAGTAGCCTGTGTGCCAACTTCCAAAAGGAAAGATACAGTCAAATTCTGCCTCGAGTTCTCAAGCTCTGAACGTTTCAGACATAAAAACAGTTGTTTTGAGAACAACGGTGAATCACAGGGGGAAAGGGTGGGAGAAGTTCCCATGGCTTTTCTTTGAAATTTCTTCACAGCAGGATGACAGCATTTACATAAAAAAGAGAGTTTATTGGCAGGTTTCTGGAAGAGAGAGGGAAAAACAATGCTGTTATTTCAGGGCTGCCAATGATCTCACATGTATCCAGTGTCTTTTCTTCAAGGATTACAAAATACTTTACAAATGTTACATTTCCAGACAGTTATTAATCCTTCCAGCACCCCTGTGAAATGAAGAATACAGTCTGGTTTGGATGAATGCAAATGGCCTCCCACCTAGGCTCACTCATCCCCAAACTGAACAATGAATGATGGTGGAGTTCATTCGTAAGTGCTCGTGGGCTATTGATGAGCGCTCCAGAGCTTTTACCCAAGAACACGGGTCATCCACATGATTCTGAATCCTGGTCATCCAGAAGGCTCTTGTTAACAGGCAGACAGGTATTTTCTTACAAACTTAAACATTTTTTGAGAAAGACATCCTGCAACTTCTCTAGGTAATCCTGTTCAGATAGAAATATTTGTTTTTTCTATAAAAATCTCTTTTTCTTTTATGTACAGCTATGCACCTATATGTAAATTTAATACATTTATACATTGTTTCTCAGTAGAAAGGAGGAGTAATTCAATTATTTTCATTATAAAAGCCACAGGCCCAGCCGTGCGTCTCATGCCTGTAATCCCCACGCTCTGGGAAGCCAAGGCAGGAGGATGGCTTGAGCCCAGGTGTTCAAGACCAGCCTGGCCAATATAGTGAGACCTTGTCTCTACAAAAACCTTAAATAATTAGCTTTGTCGGTGGTGTGTGCCTATACTCATAGAAATAAGGAGGCTGAGGCAGGAGGATTGCTTGAGCCTGAGGGGAAGAGGTTGCAGTGAGCCCAGAATGTGCCACTGTGCTACAGCCTGGGCAACAGTGAGACATTGTCTCATTAAATAAATAAATAAATAAAATAGCTATATAAAAGCCATAGAATTTTAGGGCAAAATGGAAATTTGAAATCATCTTCTTATTTTTTTTGTTTAGTGAGTGAGGCCATTGATACACAGATGAGTGGCAACTGTAGCCCATAAACTGAAAGTCAGGTCAAGAGCCAAGCTCTCTGGAGTCCTTGTCGAGAGCTCTTTCCACTGCATGGCATAGACACAGCACACACACCCCAACTTCCCACATTCCTGTCCATGGCAGACATCCACAATCAATCCCAGCACGGCCTCCATTCAATGTCGCTTCTTCTTTCAGAGATCCAGGCAGCCATTTACTTCAATGGGAATCCACACAAGCAGAGTGGCTGTGGTGAGCACAGGCTTTAGAGCCAGACAGACAGACAGCAATCCTGTATTATGTCATTAATCACTGGTGGATTGACAAAACTACTCAATCTTTCTGAGTCTCAGTTTCCTCATTTATGAAAAGGCGGATTGCAAACCTTGAAAGGCCAATCCTTCAAGATGAATCCTGACTGGGTGACTGGGCCTAAATTCAGTAAGAGCCAAGTGACCATTTGCTGACTAGAGGTCACATACGTGTTCTGAGTTCCATGAAAACCTGCATGTCTGCATAACTTTGAGACTTTCATAGTTGCCTGTTCCTATTTTTGTTGCCTGAACCAACCAATAGGCTGTGACCTACATTAACCAACCAGAGCTCAGTAAACGTCAAACAATCATAACTAAGCACATTTAAATGTTTCATGTGTATATGTGGACTTTAGTGAGAACCTGGGTTAGAACTTCCTCTATAAAAGTCAAATTTCCCATTGTTCTCTGGACTGCACCTTCACTTTACATGAAAGCTGTGTCTCTTTGGTATGAAAAATTTACTGGAATAAAGTCTCTTTCCTCTACATTCCTTTTCAGAGAAGTTTTGTTCACATTCTTTGGAATCAGAAGTGGAATTCAAGCAACACTGATTCTTCTCCTGATGCTGTCCTGAACCAACACATTGGGATCTTCAAGGGTCCTTTGAGTTCAGTTGTCTTCTCAGAGATGCCAGGAAGCCTCAGGTAAGCCCTCTTGAATTCAGACCTCCCATGCCTTTTTTTTTTTTTTTTTTTTGAGATGGAGTTTCACTCTTGTTGCCCAGGCTGGAGTGCAGTGGCATGATCTCGGCTCACTGCAACCTCTCCCTCCTAGGTTCCAGTGATTCTTGTGCCTCAGCCTCCAAAGTAGCTGGGATTACAGGCGTGTGCCACCATGCCCAGCTAACTTTTGTATTTTTAGTAGAGACGGGGTTTTGCCATGTTGGTCAGGCTGGTCTCAAACTCCTGACCTCAGGTGATCCACCTGCCTTGGCCTCCCAAAGTGCTGGGATTACAGGTGTGAACCACCGCGCACTTCTCCCATGCTTTTGATCTAAGCCTCAGAGCCTTTATTTAACCTCCTCAGCCAGTCCTCTTCATCTGGACCCTGAAAGAGACCTCCCCAGGAAGGGGGGCCTCTCCATCTGGTTTGCAGAGGTGGCCTCTTCATAAGGTTGCAGACCCAGCTGTTCCATCAGGTTTTGTGAGGACACTCTAAGGTGCGCTAGAGGGATGCCTTCATCAGCTTAGTGCAATGGGTAACCCGTGATTTCTGTGTTTCCCTGATGATCAGCTGCCCTCTGGCACTCCAACTGGCTTTATGAGCAAAAATTATGTTCCAGAGAGTTGTAATTGGCTAGGTCTCTGGACAAAAATTACCTGGGATGATCTAAAAACTTTGTTGGCCAAGATGGGGTTCTTTTGAAATTCTAAAACTTGCCTATCTGTGCTCACAATTAGAACAAAGAAAACACTGAACTTCCCAGAGATAATGAAAAGCCTTTTCAAGTTGGTACTTTTAGAGTTTCGAATAAAATCAAGAGCTACTATGCTTCCCTTAAAGAAAGCAATTCCAAATTAGGCAAACATCTTAATGAATTAAAAAGAGATTAGCACTTGGGAGACTGAAACTAAAGCTGCAGAAAAACCTAAGACCCTTCTTCTGCTAGCTCACCTCTCCTGTCACCTTGCCTGTCTGCTGCATCTTTTACAAGGCCTCTACTTTACCTTTCACTCCCTCCTTCCTCTTTCACGCTTTCTGAATTCCTCTTTTTCTCTTCTGACATTTCCACTTCCTCCAGACTCAGCCCCTTTTAAGGCCCAAATAATGGGGAGTAGAAATTGGCAAATTCCACGCTCCTTAGTCCATGTCAGAACTTTTGGCCCTAGTAAAACATTTCCCTAGTCCCTTGAAGACTAACTTCCTTGAATTTGAGTAACATTGTAGCCTAATCATTAGGGCTTATCAATCTTGATCAGCTGTTAGCTGCTGAATGGGAAAGACTCTGAGGACTTTAAGCAGACCGGTGCCCAAGGATTTGATAAGGCACAGAAACAGGATACCAAATTACTAAAAGCCATTCCCCTATTTTTTCCCCATCAGATAAACTGAAAAGCCATACACCGTTTACACAAAAAAAGGATGAGACCATTCTTGATTATTTTGATAAATTTGAACAGACTTTCCAACAAAATTTGGAGATCAAATATTTAAATGATGAAACATTCCATTTATTTAATTCCTTTTTTTTTTTTTTTTTTTTTTTGGGGCTGGTCTTTCTGAAGCTCTCAGTACCCTGGTAAAACAGCTTGACCTTAACTGGGCTGTAAAGTAACCTTATGAAATAGCCTCTTTGGCCAATTCATTATCCAAAACTTTAGAAAAGAATAAAGAATCTAGGGCTACTTGAGCATTAGACTGTCAAGAGAAGGCTGCTAAGTTAATGGTCCTTCAGTTACAACAATTAGCAAGGGACACCTCAAACATGCCCATTCTTCAAAACCAAAATTTAAAAAAAAAAGTGTGTTTTCAGAAGATGTTCCAGACATTTTAAAAAGGATTGCCCCAAATACAAATGAAGGCTGCAATTAAATCTTGATAAAGTCCCTGGCCCTCTACCCTCAAGCAGGACAAGGGATGATCCAGGGACATTCTGGGAATAGAGCTCTAGTTGACATTGAGCCACTGTCCTTAACCCTGATACTCTGGAGTGTCCCTGCCAGAGTTCTGAACTCATCTGGATGGTTGCAGGAGCCGACCAACCTGTGATGGTTCCTAAATCTCTATCCCTCCAACTGGGGGGTCCTGACTGACAATCATTGTTTTTCGTGTGTTCCATCGGTTCCCATACAATGCACCTCCTGGAAAGGAACTCCTTAGAGGCCTATCAAGCCCCTATTTCCTTCTCTTGAAGTGGGGGGCTAATGCTTGAGTTGGCAGCCCTGAGCTCAGCAGTACAGTTAGAAAATGGAGACTAAGTTAGAAATCACATAACTAAATTGGTCTCCAGGATATGATTTTTTTTTGGCCTTCAGCTGATTATTTTGAAAAGATTTCTAAACTTTGTCTAGGCTCATCTTTATTTTTCCTCATAAAATCCTGTGATAAATTCCTGTAATTTTAGGTTATCTTGGCACCCATTGTAATCCTCCTGTAACACACTCAAACTCCTTCTTGACAAAGCTTAGGTTCTCTCAGTTATTTGACATGTAAATTGCTACCCTGTTTTCTCTAAAACTCAGTAAGGGCTTTGGCCATGTGAGACATAAATTTTAACCTGTTCCATTTACAGAGACATAGTTAGAATCCAACCGTCCATTTAAACAAGTAAGTTATACCTGACACATGGCTAAAATTTTAAAATTAAAGCCATACAATCTTTATTTGTGTCTGTATATATTTTTATGTATACAGGTGTATGCATGTCTGTTCGTATGTTGTCTACATAATACCAAGTTGACTTCGTTTGTTCGTTCGTGTGTTTTTGTTGAGCTACCGGGCCTGGCCCCACATTGACTTTTAAATAAATGTGAGTATTCATAAATTAAGTAAATAAGCCCAAATGCTTTTCAAGTTCATGTGACTTTAGTCAACTTTTGGCAACTAACACTAGTTTAATACTGTTTGTTTAATAAAAGTAACAAGATCTTCTGAGTTATCAGCAAAATATGCATGTATTTAATGTTAAGATTCTTGCTTTCATGATATGTGCCTAACAGACAAGTAATGTAGAAATGGTTAATAGAAAATTTAACTTGAGATGATGGCTAGAATTGTCTAACGTCTCATGGAATTTTCCAAATTGTTAAGAATGAATACATTAAGGCCAGGAGCTGTGGCTCACGCCTGTAATCCCAGCACTTTGGGAGGCCGAGGAGGGCAGATCATGAGGTCAGGAGTTCTAGACCAGCCTGACCAACGTGGTGAAACCCTGTCTCTACCAAAAATACAAAAATTAGCTGGGCACGGTGGTGTGCACCTGTAATCCCAGCTACCAGGAGGCTGAGGCAGGAGAATTGCTTGAACCCAGGAGGCGCAGGTTGCAGTGAGCCGAGATCACGCCACTGCACTCCAGCGTGGGCGACAGAGCAAGACCCCATCTCAAAAAAAAAAAAAATTGCAAGAGGTTTTGATTTTTTAATTCTGAAATCTGTTTTTTAACAGCCACCCTCTGAACTACAACAGTTTCTATTTCTGCCACATTTCTTCCTGAGATCTATCTAACTTCTCTAGTTTCAGGTTAGAAATGCAGCTCTTCGGCTGGATGCAGTGGCTCACCCCTGTAATCCCAGCACTTTGGGAGACTGAGGCAGGCCAATCACCTGAGGTCAGGAGCTCGAGACCAGCCTGGCCAACACAGTGAAACCCCGCCTCTACTAAAAATACAAAAATTAGCTGGGTGTGGTGGTGGGCGCCTGTAATCCCAGCTACTGAGCAGGCTGAGGAAGGAGAATCGCTTGAACCTGAGAGGTGGAGGTTGCAGTGAGGCGAGATCGCGTCATTGCACTCCAGCCTGGGCGACAGAGCAAGACTCCGTCTCAAAAAAAAAAAAAAAAAAAAAAGAAATGCAGCTCTTCTTTCTAACCTTGAAAAGGTCTATCTTTTTGCTTGGCTCGGGTAATATCTTTTTTCTTCAACCTTTTCTTCAGCTACTGTAACTTTTTTCTCCAGTTCTAACTGCTGTTGTGGCCTGATGCTGAAACGTTTACCTTGAAGGTCTAGAGAAACAATGTTACCTTCAGTGTAACTTGATTCTGTATTGTTGGGTTTTCTTGATGTGTTTGAGTTGTTCCATGTAACCAGGAAACTTCCCATGCTGTCACTAAAAGCCATGAGTTTCCCTGCTCAAGGTACTAGTTTTCTTGTTTACATCCCTCTATAATATGAGTACATTCATAACCCTGGACACACTCTTCCTGTGTCTGATTAAATTCAAGTACCAGGTTAACTTTCAGTTTATCTAAAAAACCTACAGGAGGTTTTTTCTTTACTTTTAGGTAACTGACCTAGAAAACAAAGACTCTGTGTTTACTAAGATAATTTCTTATGTTTCATGTTATCTTTATTGAATTTTTGGTTACTTAGGAAAACTAATAGCTACTTGGGAGGCTGAGGCAGGAGGATCACTTCAGCCTAGGAGTTTGAGGCTGCAGTGAACACACCACTGTACTCCAGCCTGGGTGACAGATCGAGACCCTGTCTCTAAAAAAAAGGAAAACTGGCCAGGCATGGTGGGTCACGCCTGTAATCCCAGCACTTTAGGAGGCCAAGGTGGGTGGATCACCTGAGGTCAGGAGTTCAAGACCAGCCTGGCCAATACGGCAAAACCCCATCTCTACTGAAAATACAAAAATTAGCTGGGCATGGTGGCGTGTGCCTGTAGTTCCAGCTATTTGGGAGGCTGAGCTCAGCAGGAGAATAGCTTGAACCTGGGAGGCGGAGGTTGCAGTGAGCCGAGATCATGCCGTTGCACTCCAGCCTGGGCTACAAGAATGAAACTCTGAAACTCCGTCTCGGAAAAAAAAAAAAAAAAAAAAAAAGAAAACTGAGCTTTTAAAGGTTAGAGTTTTTATATCCATGTAACATTCTTTATTGCTTTTTAAGTCTTTTTATTATCACTCTGGTTAAATGAATAACTACTATTTAGTAGTGACCTGTGATTCTGTTTTGATCAAGTATTTTGAACCGTTTTACATATTTGGTGGGTTTTCCCCAGGAACAAGATTCTAAATTAAGTATTTTTGATCTAAAATTAACTTTAGGATTTGCCAGTAGGGTCCCTGGAGAGCATCAAATAATGTATTTTTCATCTTGTAGAGATATTAAATGATTAGGCTTATTGGGCAAGTCATGTGGGAAGCATTATCAAACAAGAAATAGTGTTTAATTTCTTTTAAGTTATATTTGTATAATGCATTATTCATATATGTTCCAAAATTATATGTGATTCCTAAGATTCTGATCTGTTATGATATGTACCATCAGTCATGATTTTGATTATTATTAACTTGTATGTCACAGAATTAATCAAATTTCTTTCTCAATTGCATCTTTAACTATGGCCATTCTAAGTCTTATGTAATCCACTGACAATTATGGTTTTACTTTTATCCTTCTAAAAAAGCTATTTATAATCAGTTACAGTCTAAAAATTTGCTGCTTTGTCAAGGAAATTCATGGAAAAGACACCAAGTTAAGAATTCCCTCCATCCTCATGGGAAGGGGACCCTATCAGGTACTTTTAACCAACCCATGTGCTGCTAAATTACAGAGCATTGAGTCATGGATCCATATTTCTCATTTAAAAAGAAGGCTCTTGATCCTTCTACCAAGTGAACCGCCCAACTGGTCACTGATATCAAGCTCAAGTTAATCAAACTACAGCCACCAGGACAAGAAGAAGACAACATCTGGGGTAGACTGCTTTCTCCCAAGATACCAGAGCAGGCCTGTATAACCTCTTTCTTATCTTGAGCTAACATGCCTAGTCCTTATGTTTACTTTGCAATTATTTTAATTATCATAGCTTTGAGAATCTTATGCCTCCTGGGTGTCTTATGCCACTCTGGGGTAGTTCCATATATTCCACTATTTAGACACGCCATGGGACTCACTGCCTTGCTGGACTCTTTATAATCCCCTCTTTTTACACCATGCTGTACTTCTTCCTTGTCCTTTCTTTCTCAACTCTGCTTTTCAGTTCCTCCTACTCGTGGGAAGATAATGCCTAGGTACAGCAATCCCAATCCTTGCCTCTGCAGGCAACCTAACTGAGTGTTGGATATGTCACCTTTCCCCCTGCCGAAGTCATCGGAGGAAACAGGAATCCTATAATCATCCCAGTGACCAGCTTCCCTAATGTGCTCAGTTGCTTGGTACTCCTGTTTGATCCACTTGCTGTTGCCTATTGGGTGCATATTCATGCTCCTGAGGTTCATCCTTGTTTTCTCCTCACTGGTATATCCCATAAATACCTTCCTATTACCCTACCTTGCATTTCCTCCCCTTCTTCTGAATACTCACCACCCCCCTCCTCTGTGTCTTGCCAAATCCCATAGAAACAGAACACTTAGTAACACTTCTCTCTGCAGAATATACCAAAGAAAGCTTAAGAGTCTCCTCTATGGCTCCCCAAATCTGCCGGTTGGATCACACCACTCTGTCATTACCTAAGACAGGTACTTGGTTTGACCACATACCCTCTCTTGCCTGTAAACAGCTCCTTGAATTTTCATAACCTCTCAGGATAATTACGTGCCCCTTCAGGCTGTGTTTTTGGCTGCAGCTACGTCAGCCAAAAAGAGTTTTTCTACCCCTGCCTCGGGTCCTGAGAAAACACAGGCATTTGCTTTCTGGGTCAAGCCATTGCTCCTGTCACTGTTATTAAGTCTCTAACTCAGGGAATGTAGAGTCTACATCCCAGGGCCAAAAGAGCTCTACCAATAATTGATGACTATGCTGGTGATAGCCCCTCAGATTATAAAGATGATAGCTGTGGATACTCCTAAGGATGTGATTTACCTGGTAGGCTTAACTCTAGTGAAGGATCTAAATGGGAAGGGATTCTGGGGTCCTGGTTTGGGCTAGACCCTGCTTGGAATGAATATAGGATCAGAAACCTTTCCTGCATGGTTCGCAGAATTGCCCACTCCACTGCCTGTACCATCAGGGCACAACAGAGATTTCCAGATTCCCTTGCCCATGCGATCCTGCACAACCACATTGCATTAGACGGTCTCCTCGTTGCATGTGGTGGTGTTTATGCTGTCACTAACACTTCCTGCTGCACCTGGGTAAATACTTCCATTCAGGTTGAATTAGAAGCATCTGAGATCCAAAGTTGGCCAAATCCTACAGCTGGCTGTCTGAAAAGGACACCTTCAGAAAGCCTCCTGGCTGGGCTTGCTGGATTAGAATTCCAATTTCCAGATATTTTCAGCCGGCTTCTTCTGGTATAGGATTCCTTCTGTGTTCTGCCCTACAAATTGTAATGAATCTCCTTGGGCTAAGCATTTGGCTCCTCTTTAAAATCATTGTAGCCTGCTTTAACAGATATCTGCATGAGACCCTCACCAGGATCGTGCTGACCCAAGACCTTGAGACTTTAGACTCATTCCAGCTGGAAACGGAAGCCAGCTTAAGCCAAGAGATGTTAATTCATATTTAACAGGTGCCTGAGTGCCTCTCATAAGTAAATGGCTCTAGTTGCTCAGTTGATCACTGCCTTGTCAAAGGATCTCTGCACGGGACTAGAAGAATCTGGAACAGGTTGCCAGCCACTCTAGCACGATGATGGGATGCAACCAACCTAATCAATCATCAGTGCTGTCTGCTGACAGGTTTTGATAAACGGGGGGCGTGGGGGGAATGTGAACCTTGAAAGAGCCAATCCCTCGGATGAATCCTGAGTGGCTAATAGCCTAATTTCAAAAGAGCCAAGTGGCCATTTGCTTACTAGAGGTCGCACACATACTTGGAGTTCCTGGAAAACCTGCATGTCTGCTTAGGGGCTTTCATAGCTGCCTGTTCATGTTTGTGCTGCCTGAGCCAACCAATAGACTGTGACCTATGTCAACCAATCAGAACTCAGCAAGTGTTGACCAATCAGAACTCACCAAACATCAACCGGTCAGAACTAAGCAAGTTTGAATCCTTTATTTGACTAAGTGGACCTGAGTGGAACCTGGATGGGATCTTTCACTATAAAAGAAAAACCTTCCCTTTGCTCTCTGGAACGTACCTTCATTTTACACTGAAGGCTGTGTCTCTTCGGTTTGCCAACTGTTACTGGAATAAAGTCTCTTTCCTCTAAATTCTCTTTCAGAGAATTTTGTTCACAGGATAAAAGTCATACCCATCCCACTGGTCCAAGTTGAGGATTAGCTGTGTCGAGTCATGTAAAATAGTTCATTTAGGTAGGTGCTGAGGACTTGTTGGCTGTGATTTTGATGATGATCTCAGCAGTGATGCTAATGACAACTCCTTTGTGTCATCCTACTGTACCATACTTCCATGTCACACCTGAAGTCAAATGGGTAATACTATATACATTCATTCATTCTCATATATGCACCGAAGGGTGGTATATGGCTTTGCTCTTTTATTCTGCCGTGGTTTTCCTCAGCTCCTTGAAATTGGATCCACTGGTATGCCCCACCTTCTGTTTGAGGCTGAATCCAAACTCTAATACCTATATCACTCTGGGACTGTATTATGGGTTGCATTGTGTCCCACCTCCCCAAATTTATATATTGAAGACCTAACACCCATGACCTCAGAATGTGACCTTGTCTGAATATAGGGTTACTGTAAATATAGGGTTACTTCATTAATGTGATTAATAAAGTTAAAATAAGGTCATACTGAAATAGGGTGGGCCATTAATCCAAATATGACAGGTGTTCTTATGAGAAAGTGAAATTTGGACTTGAAGACAGACAGACAGAAACACACACACACAGAGGGAGAAAGAGAGACAGAGAGAGAGGGAGAGAGACAGAGAAAGAGAGAGACGGAGAGAGAGAGAGACAGACATAGAGAAAGAAAGAGAGATAGAGACAGAGGGAGAGAGAGAGAAAGAGAGACAGAGAGACAGAGAGAGACAGAGAGAGAGAGAGAGTGAGCAATCGTGAAGATTGCAGTTATGCTGCCACAAGCCAAGGAACTACCAGAAGCTAGGAGAGGTGCCTGCAACAGATCCTTCTGTAGCACCTTCAGAGGGAGCATGGCTCTTCTGACACCTTGATCTTGAACTTCTAGCCTCCAGAATGGTGAGACAATAAATTGCTGTTGTTTATATGCTCGTTTATGCTACTTTGTTACAGCAGCTGTAGGAACTAACACAGGGTATAATGAATTGACAACTCTGGGCATAGTTCCCAGGGGCTTGGTTGCAATGGCTGGGCTCCCTGAGTCACCCCGAAGTCTCTCACTGCCAGGAATCCCAGAGTTTGGACCTTAGAGAGATCCCCCAGTTTCCCATGTTGGCTTTTTCTGAATTCATTCAGGGCAGATGGGTTGCTTGCCTAACCATCTAGTTTCTCCTGGTAAGAGAGCAAAGGAAAGATTTTTCTTTTATAGTGAAAGATCCCATCCAGGTTCCACTCAGGTCCACTTAGTCAAATAAAGGATTCAAACTTGCTTAGTTCTGACGGGTTCATGTTTGGTGAGTTCTGATTGGTCAATACTTGCTGAGTTCTGATTGATTGACATAGGTCACAGCCTATTGGTTGGCTCAGGCAGCACAAACATGAACAGGCAGCTATGGAAGCCCCTAAGTTAAGCAGACATGCAGGTTTTCCAGCTTAAGCGAAGCTCCCTGAAACCAGATCCTGCTTGGGCGTCTACAGCCTGAAAGGCAGAGCCTCTTGTGTATGTGAAACGTGATTGTCTGCTGCTGGGCTTTTAGGTGCCCAGCCTCTGCCTGGCTTCCACATGTGCCCGCCCGCACTCTGTGCCCATGCCTCCCCATCAGACTTGTACACTGACCCCTTCGGAAATGAGCGCCTGGCCTGCCCTTATGGACATTGCTTGGATCACTTGTTGCCCTGTTCTGGCCCAGCAGTGTCACTTCTGCCAGACCCCAACTTGGAGCTTCCTGAGCTCTGATTTCATTGCTGAGCAACCTGTAACAGTTCCCTCGGGAGTTCACAGAAAACAATTATGACCTCACATAAATAAAATATTCTGCTTAATAATAAACTGGATCTTTTAATTGTTAAAAATGTTCATTGTAGAAAAATCAGAGGAGAAAAAAGAAACAAAACTAATGACTTATAATCACATTACTTGGAGACACTGTTACTATTTTGGTTTATGTTCTTTTAGACTTTTTTCTCATTTCACTTATTGTTTACTTACTTGATTTTTATTTTATCAAAGTAATGTCAGCACAGAATTGTAAAAACTCAAATAGTTCTAACAGGCTTTTGTAAAATGCAGTGTTTCCATCTCTCCCTTCCCCACTCTCTCCACATTTCCACTCTAAGGACAAGCACTTTCAATTCTTTTATCTGTCTCTCTGGCCCTTACACATCTAATTATTTCCAAAATTTAGACATTATCTACTGACTTCCTATTGTAGCAAATGAAGATTTAGCTTTCTTACAATGTCCCCATCTCCGAATCCCTTTCTCTATCCTCCCAACATAGTCCTTCCAAATTGTTGGAGGCAATATTCAGAATATTAATATACATATACAAATAATCTTCACAGCTGAAGGTTGGAGTGTGACATTTCCTTCTTTTCATTTCTTTTCCTGAAAGTAACAATGGCCCATGTCTTTATTTAGTTAGTTTTGTTTGTGCTCATTGCTTGTTCTTTGCACACATCTCACAGCCCACGGTGTAAGTTTCCTCGAGCTGACTTGCATCAGGGAATCCATCAATCCCATTTTTCTTGCCTGAAGGCACTCCCTTGGAAGCTTCCATTCTCCTTCCTGTGCCGCTTGCTTCCTGGGATCCCTGGGCAGCTCTTATCCTGGGATTTCTGTTTGCTATAATTCTTGGAATTCCCCTTATCTTTGTCCTGTGCTGTATTTGTTTTTCTGGATCTCATGCCTTTCTTTCTTGTTGTACAGGTAATGTTGTCATGAACATTAATGTTTATGTCTTTTGGTGTACATGTGTGTGCATTTCTCTTGGGTGGATATATAGAAAGGGGATTTCCGGGTCTTAGGGGATGGGTTTTTCCAGTTTTAGTTGATACTGCCAGTTTTCCAAAGTAACTGCACCAATTTATGCTCCTACTGGCAGTTTCATTGGCCCCCACATCCTCACCAGTAATTGATATTGTTGGTTTTAAAATATGAGCCATTCTAATTGGGTGCATACTGGTATTTCATTGTGATTTTAATTTGAACCTCTTGATGACTTACGATAATAAATGTTTCTAGTCATTTGTATATCTTATTCAAAAAGTGCCTATTTAAGTTTCTGTCCATTTTTCTATTGGCTTATCTGTCATTTTCTTACTAATAATTATTTTTTCTAGATAAAAATTTTTTAATCAGATACATCATTGTAAATATTTTTCTGCCTTTTGATGACATGCTTTTTCACAATGTACACAAATTCTTCACTTTTCCAATTCATTAATCTTTTCCTTTAGGGATGATTTTTAAAAATGTCTTATTTAATGTCTTTGTCTACTCAAGAGTCATGAAGATATCTCCTTATTTTATTTTTAAGAAGCTATATTTGTGTTACCTCTCAGATTTAGATTTACTCAGATTTTAAAAAATTCTCCCTGGGCCTGATTTTGTGTATGGTGTGAGGTAGTGGCCCAGGTTAATCTTTTTCCATAAATATATGCAATATTAAAGAGTTTGTATTTGATTGGCATTACTTCTTCCTAATTAGTCTGGAAGACTTCACTGATGAATTTTCTGGAGTTTTCATTTCATTGTATTCTGCCATTGCTGGACATAGTATTCTGTATGTGCCCATCTGGTCATGTTAATTGTGTTGTTTAGAGCCTCTACATTTTTACTGATTTTATTTTTGTCTGCATGTTCTACTAGTTTCAGGGACTGTGTCAAAATATCCTACTTTTTTTGATTAGTTTTATTTATTTCATTTCTAGTTTCATCAATTTGCATTTGTGTATTTTTTTTTGGTTTCACCAATTTCTTCTTTATATATTTTGAAGCTATGTTATTGGATGCATATGATTTAGAATTGGTAGACGTGATATCTTCATGGTGATCTGAGCACTTCATTATATTATGATCCTCCTCATTTCTTGTGGTGTTTCTTGCTTTAAAGTTGACTTTGATTGTAACATAACTACAAGGCACTCTTCAAAACAGTATGTAGTTCTTTTAACTTTTAATCTAATCTGATTATTTTAATCTTTTAACTGAAATATTTAACCCAATACAGATATATTCAGATTTATATCTGCCATCTAATATTTCCTTTGTATTTGACTCAGCTGTTCTGTTGTTTTCTTGCTTTCTTTTAAGTGAATTGATTTTTTAAATACTATTTTCTGTTATACATCTTCTTTTAGAAGTTATGCTAGAAGTTACAGTAAACATTCATGACTAACTACAGTTGAGTATATTTTCAACTTCCCTGATAATGCTGGAACTTTGGTATATTTTAACTCCACTTATTTTTTTCCTCTCCAGTAACTTTTCTTGCCTTGAATTTTTAATTCTAGATAAATGTTATAGACTAAATTGCATCCCCTCAAAATTCATATTTGAAGCCCTGACCCACAATGTGGCTGTATTTTGAGACAGGGCCTTTAAAAAGGTTATTAAGGTTAAGTAAGGTCATGATGGCGGAGCCCTAATCCAATATAATTGGTGTATAACCTTATAAGAAGAGCAAGAGGAACCAGGGATGTGCACATGCAGAGTAAAGAACATGTGAGAGCTCAATGAGAAGACAGTCCTCTGCAAGCCAGGTAGAGAGGGCTCAGAAGAAACCAACCCCACTGACCCCTTAATCTTGGACTTCTGCCTCCAGAACTGTGGGAAAATAGAAGATATCTCATTATGTATACGCGAATATTCCAAAATCCAAAAAAACAAATCCCAAATATGGACCCAAACACTTCTGATCCCAAGCATATTGAAAAAGAAATACTCAACCTGTATTTGAAACTTCAAAGACATAATTACTCTTGTTTTGTAGGGTCAATATTCATTTGTATTTTAAATACATATACACTATTCGGTGCTCCTCATTCCTACCTGCATTTTTTCATTTCTGTCTGATACCATTTTTCTGAAGAATTCCCTTCAGTGTTTTTTTCAGTACAGGCCAGCAGGTGATTGTTTATTTTGCTTTATTTTTAAAGGATATTTTTTGTTGAGTTTGGAATTGTAACTTGGCAAATATTGTCTTTTAAAATACTTTAAAGATATTCCTTTGGAATATTTTAGAGAAACTATTCCAAATATTTTGGAAAAACTATTCCAAATATCTTTTCCTGCTTCCTGCATTTCTGTTGAGAAGTAAGCTTTTAGTCTTATTGTTGGGGGTTTGAAGGTAATGTGTTTCCCAGCACCCTCTACCCCCACCCTCAGCAGTTGTTAGGATTTTTCTCTTTATCTTTGGTTGTTAGCTCTTTTATCTTGATATATTTATATGCAATTTTCTTTGACTTTATTCTGCTTGGGGTTCCCGAACTTCTTAAATCTGAGTTTTGATTTTTTTTTTGTCAGTTTTGAAAATTTCTTTTCAAATCTTATTTCTGCTCATCCACTTTTTCCTCTTCTTTTGGAACTCCCTTTACACTAATTTTAGACTGTTTGTGTTTCACATATACTTTTACCTATATTTTTTTCTTTCTCTGCTTCGATTTGGATATTTTCTATTAACCTATCTTCCAATTCAATAATCCTCTTCTCCGCTTTCAAAACCACCTATTACATTTTTAATTTTAGATGTTTTATGTCTCAGTTCTAGAACTGGCATTAGTTTTGATATGTTATACTGTCAGAAATGAAAGTGGACATTACCATCTGCTTTTACACGTCCAAATTTTTTTTACTGTTGTTTCTTCTCTTGTATTAGTCACCTCTTTTCACAATGTTACTGAATAACAACTGAAAATATTGGTGGCTTAAGAAAACAATCATTTATTTTCTCTCAGATGTTTGCACATTAACCTGGGGTCATTTAATCCATGTTGAGCTTAGCTGGGATATGTTCTAAGCAGCAGGTTGTCCAGATCTACTCAATGTCTTTCCCACTCCAATTGGACCAGAATGCTAGCCAGTGCAGCTCTTCACATAGTGATGGTAGAAGCATAAAAGGCAAGATTGTAACTGCACAGTGGGCTCACCTTGCCTGCTGCCTAGACTGAGACAATTTATCAAGACAGGGGAATTGCAATAGAGAAAGAGTTATTCACACAGAGCCGGCTGTGTGGGAGAACAGAGTTTTATTATTACTCAAATCAGTCTCCCCGAGCATTCGGAGAGCAGAGTTTTTAAGAACAACTTGGTGGGTGTGTGGGAAGCCGGTGAGCCAGGAGTGCTGATTGGTCAAAGATGAAATCATAGGGAGTTGAAGCTGTCTTCTTGTGATGAGTCAGTTCCTGGGTAAGGGGCCACAAGATCAGATGAGCCAGTTTATTGATCTGAGTGGTGCCATCAAGTGCAGGGTCTGCAAAATATCTCAAGCATTGATCTTAGGAGCAATTTAGGGAGGGTCAGAATCTTGTAGCCTCCAGCTGCACGATTCCTAAATCATAATTTCTAATCTCGTGGCTACTGTCAGTCCTACAAAGGCAATCTAGTCCCCAGGCAAGAAGAAGGTCTGCTTTGGGAAAGGGCTGTTATCATCTTTGTTTTAAACTATAAACTAAGTTTCTCCCAAAGTTAGTTCAGCCTACACCCAGAATGAACAAGCACAGCCTGCAGGTTGGAAGAAGACGGAGTTGGCTAAGTTAGATCTGTTTCACTGTCTCAGTCATAATTTTGCAAAGGTGGTTTCAAGATCAGTGATGAGTTCTAAACCTCTGGTCACATCACGTCTACCTATAACTCATTGGCCAAAGCAAGCCACATGGCTGAGTTGAAAGTCAAGGAGCAGGGAAATGTACTTCTCAAGTGTGAGGAAGTTCAGTTATATAACAAAGGGAGTGAAGAAGAACCAGCCCCTACTTCAAGTATCTCTGCTTGTTGTTCTTATCTTGTAAAATTAAAAAAAAATTTTTTTAACTACTCATTTCCTGGGATTTTGGAGGGAGGAGGAATTATATGTCCAGTCTCTCATTTTAACTCAAAATTTTACTTGTTTCTAGAGAGATTCTCATCTACTAATTTCATTATGTGATGCACTTCAAATGTCAAGTTTTATCTCTATTAGTTTTCTATTGCCATGTAACACATCACCACAAATTTAGCATCTTAAAACAATATACATTTATAAGTTCACTATTTTCATGAGTCAGGAGTCTGAGCACAGCTTCTCTGGATCTTTGCACAGGGTGTTGGCCAGTATGCATTCTCGTGTGGCGCATGGTGTTCTCTTCCAAGCTCACATGCTTGCTGGAAGAATTCAGTTCCGTCATATCTTAGGACAAGGCCCAGCCTGGATACCTCTCCACTTGCAGGGGGACAACAATGAAGAGAATCCAGAATCCAGTATTTGGCCCTGTCTTTGCCCTCTGGGATATTGCAGGTGCTGAGAGGACTTCAGCCGCTGCAGGTCCTGGGGAAAAAAAATCCAACTGTAGAAATAAAACAGCAATTGAAGAGCATGGAGACAGAGAAGAGGTATCCTGGAGGTTCTCACCCAGTATGGTAAAGGGCCTTGCAGGGGGACAAACAGGACGATGGGAAACTCAGGAGAAGGTGATATTCAGAAGCCCAGACAACACAGAGGGGAAGCCTGATATTCACAATAGCTACAGTCTAATAACAGCTAACACCTAATGAGTCCTTCAGTGACAGGCATTGTATTGATATGCACTTTCCATCCCTATGTATTTACTCCTCACTATAAGCCTAGGAAGTAGCTAGCATTACAGTCTCCATTCCCAAATGAGGAAGCTGTGGTCCAGAGAAGTGAAGTAACTTGCTCAACATCACAGAGCTCCGTTAAATAAAGTTTATGGGAGGCCATTGTTTTGGACTGAATTCCTGCACTAGGTCCCAGCAGACCTACCCAAAATAGAGTTACTCATACTACGATTCCACATCACCAAACCAAATGCTAAGCTGTTTACCTGTAAAGTCTGATCTTTTCAGAAATCAGGAGAGATATGATAGCCAAATCTCACTAAGCCAACAAGACTCTCTGTAAGGAAAGTAACTTTGAAATGGCAAGTCCACCTTATGTTCCTTGTTTCGGCTTTCTCCAGCCTTTTCTGCCTATGAAACCTGCCCTCTCTGCTCAGCTCAGTGGAGCTCCCTTCCATTTTGTGGGCTGAATGCTGCCTGGTTTGTGAATCACTAATAATTGTCTGTTAGATCTTTGAATCTCAGTTTGTTGAAAGTTTGTTCTTTGACACCTTGTAAGTAGGAATAAAAACCCAGAATAAAACCTAAAATGTTCTTGTCCAAATCTGGCTCATGAGCAGCACCCAGTAGGACCTATGAGCAGATGAGGTACCCCAGATAAAAGCCGTCAGGCCCCAGGGTGCCTGGCAGGGTCTCAATCACAAACAAGACAGCTTTCAGTCTTTGGGAACACGTGCTGGGCTGTGGTGGCAGCAAAGTGGGATTGTTGTTGAATAACATGGTGTTGGAAAAAAGCTTTCAAAATTCTGCTTGGGGTAGGAATTGCCTCAGAGTTTGGAAAAGCCCTGAGTTGTTAGGGGAACAAAAATGGTGTCATGAGAGAGAAGAAGGGATAAGATTAAGGTAGGAACTGACGGTTTAAATGTTCCCTGTCGTCAGGTCCTAGGTTCTAAATCGGACTTTTCTTACCCTGAGGGCTTGGGTCACTCCAGCCCCTAAGCCTAGCGTGGAGTAGAGGTAGTCAGGAGCAGCACCATTCCAATTCCGCCTTGTCGGCTGCTGCTAAGGACAACAATTGCCAATGCTACTCTTGTTTAAATTGAGACACGCCCTCATGAGCTCTTCATCTCTTTAGCCAGACTCTGTTATTTTTTCTCCAATACACATTCCCTAAATAAAAAACATAAGGTGATAAAAAATTGAGGTTGAAGGTTGGAACTGAGCTTCTCTGAGAATGCTCTTCCTACATTTTTATTTTACTTTTTTTTTTGGTGAGACGGAGTCTGTCGCTCAGGCTGGAGTGCAGTGGCACGATCCCGGTGCAGTGGCGTGATCCTGGTTCACTGCAACCTTCACCTCCCGGGTTCAAGCGATTCTCCTACTTCCACCTCCTGAATAGCTGGGATTGCAGGTGCAGGCCACCACGCCTGGCTAATTTTTGTATTTTTAGTAGAGACGGAGTTTCACCATGTTGGTCAGGCTGGTCTCCAACTCCTGGCCTCAGGTGATCCACCCGTCTCGGCCTCCCAAAGTGCTGGGATTACAGGTGTGAACCACTGCGCCTGGCCTGAGAATGCTCTTTCTATAGAGTAGCTTGGTGTAAAGAAGAGGACTCTGGCTTCAGAAAAAAGGCAGACTGGTTTAGACCCCGGCTCTGCTCCCTGGTACTCACGAGAAACTTATGAAGCTTTGTAACTCCCTGGTCATCATTTACCTCTCCGTGAAACAGAGATAAGGATAAACTACAATAATTATATATAATTCTATAGGCTTGTAAAACAAAAAATTATAAAGTTATAAATAGAATTAAATCATAATATAATTTACAAACAAAATTATATAGTAAACGTGTACATTCAGTCAGCCGTCTATATCCACAGGCCCTCTGTATCCTGCATCCGTTCATTTAACCAACGTGGCCCGCGAGGGGGCGCGAGTGGGTGCCAGGGCGCAGTGGGAAGGGGGCCGCGGAGCCCGCGAGGCACATGCGCAGTGCAGGACCCCGCCATTTTGTCTTCACCGCAGCCACGGCCGCAGGTCGCGAGTGCCTGCCAGCAAATGATTGAGGGAGTTGCTGAGCGTCGCCGTCGCTGCTGTGGGGAGAAAGTCGAGCAAAGCTAAGGAGAAGAAACAGAAGTGGTTGGAGGAGCCAGCAGCCATGGATGCTGTTTGTGCCAAAGGGGACGCCATCAGCAGGCCTGGAGACCCTCTGGAGGCTTTCCTGCTGTTCAGGAAATCTGATCAAAACCGGGTTGAATGTCTCTACTGAGTGTAGGCCAGGGTCTGGACTGGAGCCAGCCACCATGGATTGGGCCTTCGACCTGACCAAAACCGATAGGCAGACCACGTATGAGTAGAGGGAGTGGGGCTGGAAGGACAGAGAGAAACGGGAGAAACGGTAGTCACCCAGCCTGGTGCCTCCTCGCTTGAGAATGCATTGCCCACCTGTTGCATTTTTTCACTTCCCGTTTGATGTGGAGTGCAGAGGATGAAGTCCTACGTGGGAAGCAAGGTGCGGTGGAAAGGCCTGGGGGAATTTCCTCCTACAGAGACTGCAGCTCATGGCCAACAGGACACAGATGATGGAGGTTATGTTAATGGTGTTCAGGCACAATCATAGCACCTACCAATTCTTCAGAGAAGCCTGCAGTTTGAAATTGATGACTCTTCCCCCAGCATGTCTGGTTGCTGTGGGGAGGACTGCTCCTATAAGATCCTGAGCTGGAGGACCAAGTTTGGGGACAGCCAGCATGCCCATGCAGGTGGGCACTGTGGTGGCTGCTGCCACTGACCTCCTAGAGCCACTTGCAAATCAGTGTGCTCTCTTCTAAGGCCTGTCGTCTCCCTTGGTCTCACCATTTGCCAGGTGCCCTCAGAGCTGTGGCCTCCTCAGCCCTGCACCTGTCGGGCTGCACCCCGAGAACACGGAACACTGCCTCCCCTCTTCTGGAAGACCAGCGTGCCAGGAGAGAATGAAGAGGAGAGGGAAAAGTGAGTGGAGGACTGACTGTGAAGCTCATCCTCACAGTGAGGCTCCTGGGCCATGGGGTGGAGGTTCTGAAACCACTTCGCTGCAGCTCCTAGATACTCCCCTCCCCCACACATACACACTTGGGAAAATGGAATGTTTATTTTCACCTTTGTGAAAATCTTGGAGTTCTGGGTCTGTGGTTTGGAACCCCAAAGAGGAACGCATTGGGTGTAAGATCTGGGCGTAGAGAGAGGCTTCAGAGAGACTAAGGCTTTCGCAGGTGGAATGCTCTGACGGAGACTGTGGGAAGATATTTTGTGCCAAGATGCAGGGAAGTGAGGAAAGCTCTTTCCTGCTGTTTTTAATGAATCCATGGAGTGGACTCAGCTTGGGACCAGTAGCCGCTGGGAGGAAGGCTGGCTGTCTTCATCGCCACTCGTCATTGCCATCGCCACCGCCACTGACCATACGAGAGAGGCTGAAAGTGTGTCTGGAATTGGTGGGTTCCTGGTCTCACTGACTTCAAGAATGAAGCCATGGACCCTCACAGTGAGTGTCACAGTTCTTAAAGGCGGCGTGTCCAGGGTTTGTTCCTTCTGATGTTCGAATGTGTTCGGAGTTTCTTCCTTCCGGTGGGTTCGTGGTCTCGCTGGCTCAGGAGTGAAGCTGCAGACCTTCGCGGTGAGTGTTACAGCTCTTAAGGCGGCGTGTCTGGAGTTGTTTGTTCCCCCCGGTGGGTTTGTGGTCTTTCTGGCTCAGGAGTGAAACTGCAGACCTTTGTGACTAGTGTTACAGCTCTTAAAGGCAGTGTGGACCCAAAGAGTGAGCAGTAGCAAGATTTATTGCAAAGAGTGAAAGAACAAAGCTTCCACAGTGTGGATAGGGGACCCAAGCGGGTAGCCACTGCTGGCTCGGGCAGCCTGCTTTTATTTTCTTATCTGGCCCCACCTACATCCTGCTGATTGGTCCATTTTACAGAGAGCCGATTGGTCTGTTTTACAGAGAGCTGATTGTTCCATTTTGACAGGGTGCTGATTGGTGCGTTTACAATCCCTGAGCTAGACACAAAAGTTCTCCACTTCCCCACTAGATTAGCTAGATACAGAGTGTTGATTGGTGCATTCACAAACCCTGAGCTAGACACAGAGTGCCGATTGGTGCATTCACAATCCCTTAGCTAGACATAAAGGTTCTCCAAGTCCCCACTAGACTCAGGAGCCCAGCTGGCTTCACCCAGTGGATCTCGTACCAGGGCTGCAGGTGGGGCTGCCTGCCGGTCCTGCACCGTGTGCCCACACTCCTCAGCCCTTGGGTGGTCGATGGGACTGGGTGCCATGGAGCAGGGAGCAGTGCTCGTTGGGGAGGCGCGGGCTATGCAGGAGCCCACGGCAGGAGGGCGGGGAGGCTCAGGCATGGCGGGCTGCAGGTCCCGAGCTCTGCCTGGCGGGGAGGCAGCTAAGGCCGGGCGAGAAATTGAGCGCAGTGCTGGTGGGCTGGCACTGCTGGGGGACCTAGCGTACTCTCCACAGCTGCTGGCCTGGGTGCTAAGCCCCAAGCCCCTCACTGCCCAGGGCCAGCCGGCTGCTCGGAGTGTGGGGCCTGCCAAGTCCACGCCCACCTGGAACTCTAGCTGGCCCGCAAGCACCGTGCGCGGCCCCGGTTCCCACCCATGCCTCTCCCTCCACACCTCCCCGCAAGCCGAGGGAGCCGGCTCCGGCCTCGGCCAGCCCAGAGAAGGGCTCCCACGGTGCAGGGGCGGGCTGAAGGGCTCCTCAAGCGCGGTCAGAATGGGCGCTGAGGCCGAGGAGGCACCGAGAGCCAGTGAGTGCTGCCAGCAGGCTGTCACCTCTCAAAAGGACCAGGAATGAGGTGTTATATGGGACCTGCCATGGGGATGACTGCTTGTGTATGCTTTTGGATGTTGCTGCATTCTAAGCTTAACCTCTTGGTCTCATGGCAGTGATTGAGGTTTTTATTCATAGAAGAAAACCAGAGGTTCTGCCTGTTTCTCTCTGCCAGTTCCCACCATTCATTATCCTCTGCTTCTTTCCTGTACCCCAGATACCTCTGTTCTTAGTCTCCAGGGTAGAATAACATCAGGGGGCCCCTCATCTTCCCCCAGAGCTATCAGCACCAAGAGATGAGAGATGCCTTTTTCACTCATCTCTTGGTGCTGATAGCTCTCTGAGGGTAAGGGCATCACTTCTCACCACCACCCTCTCTTCAGAGAGCCCTCAGACAGCAGCAGTCCCCCTGCCCTCACTCTCCAGCCTTGCCCCTTACTGCCTCAGTGAGGCACTAGTGCCACTGCCATGACCCAGCCAGGCCATAGTTAAGGCTGCAGCAGGAATGCCTTTCTGTGGCCAAAACAGCTGCTTTTCTTTCTGAGGTCACCCTGTGGCAACAGGCTGGAGCAGGGGGAGAAGGCCTTCCTCTTCTTCGATAGGATAAAGAGGTTGCAGCCTCAGAACTAATACTCATCCTGATCTCTAGGCCTTGTTCCTCTTCCAGGGAAGATAAAACAAATCCTTATCAAGGAAAAATCCCAACACTTCCCCTTGGACATTCCTGAACTCTGCTTTGGGGAGGATCGTAAAGGTTCTAGCCTTCATGAAGTTGCTCTCCTGGAGATCTGTTGGTCTCTCTGACCTCAGTATCTGCTCACATCTCACCCTCTGCTCAACTCAGGCAGTTTGTCCTGGTAGATCTCCCCAGAGTGGTCCTTGATTCTCACCTGGATTCCTACTTGTGTAGAGGCCTGCGTACACAGGGCCTCCCGCACCCAGCCTGGTCCCTCTGCTAAACACTCTCTGCTGCTCTTGACTCTGGCAGTGGTGGGAGTGGACACTCTTTGGGAGAGGGCCTTGTGGCTTTACACTGGAATAAGTCTGCATGTCTCACCCTGCTGTCTCCCTGGGGTGTCACCCAAGGGAGAGTTGAGGGCGCTGGGAGGTTTTTGGTGGACTCCTAAGACTCATGAAACCACAGAAGCATGTTTAAGAAGAGATTTTCCTCTGGTCCTTGTCTGTCAAAGGACACAGAGCGAAATATTTATTTTCTTAGATCATAGATTTCTGATACATCTCACTCAAGGTGACCAAAAGGAACCCCCCAGTGTACATCACACTTAAGGTGAGTTCAGTGTACATATTCTCCAGTCACTGGACTCCTGGCACCAACTGGTAAATGAGGGCTTGGTGCCATTCCCTGCTCACTGAAGTCTCAGCAGGCCGTGTCAGGAAGGGCTCCTCAGGAGGTCGGGGCTGGAGTGGGAGAGCACTGTCTGAGATCTGCAGTTACTCTCGTCGGTGTTGAGCCCATTAATTTCCAAAACATCAGTCTTTCTCCACTTCCCCCAGGTCTTGCTTTTGAGAAACACAGCAGGCCTTTTGTACCAAACTTTTTGTTGTTTTTTGTTTGAAGCCTGTTAGTGTATTTTGTAAGATTTTAAAAGTATTAGTTTTTTTTTTTTTGCCCTCTTGCTGAATTGACCACTTTA
Organism: Homo sapiens; assembly: GCF_000001405.40. NCBI lineage: Eukaryota > Metazoa > Chordata > Mammalia > Primates > Hominidae > Homo > Homo sapiens. The sequence continues at coordinate 4,193,491 of NC_000006.12, forward strand.
TTACCTTATAATGACTTTGTCTCTTTTTTTTAAATTTTTTTTTATTATACTTTAAGTTTTAAGGTACATGTGCACATTGTGCAGGTTAGTGACATATGTATACATGTGCCATGCTGGTGCACTGCACCCACTAACTCGTCATCTAGCATTAGGTATATCTCCCAATGCTATCCCTCCCCCCTCCCCCGACCCCACAACAGTCCCCAGAGTGTGATATTCCCCTTCCTGTGTCCATGTGATCTCATTGTTCAATTCCCACCTATGAGTGAGAATATGCGGTGTTTGGTTTTTTGTTCTTGCGATAGTTTACTGAGAAAGATGATTTCCAATTTTATCCATGTCCCTACAAAGGACATGAACTCATCATTTTTTATGGCTGCATAGTATTCCATGGTGTATATGTGCCACATTTGCTTAATCCAGTCTATCATTGTTGGACATTTGGGTTGGTTCCAAGTCTTTGCTATTGTGAATAATGCCGCAATAAACATACGTGTGCATGTGTCTTTATAGCAGCATGATTTATAGTCCTTTGGGTATATACCCAGTAATGGGATGGCTGGGTCAAATGGTATTTCCAGTTCTAGATCCCTGAGGAATCGCCACACTGACTTCCACAATGGTTGAACTAGTTTACAGTCCCACCAACAGTGTAAAAGTGTTCCTATTTCTCCACATCCTCTCCAGCAGCTGTTGTTTCCTGACTTTTTAATGATTGCCATTCTAACTGGTGTGAGATGGTATCTCATTGTGGTTTTGATTTGCATTTCTCTGATGGCCAGTGATGATGAGCATTTTTTCATGTGTTTTTTGGCTGCATAAATGTCTTCTTTTGAGAAGTGTCTGTTCATATCCTTCGCCCACTTTTTGATGGGGTTGTTTGTTTTTTTCTTGTAAATTTGTTTGAGTTCATTGTAGATTCTGGATATTAGCCCTTTGTCAGATGAGTAGATTGCGAAAATTTTCTCCCATTTTGTAGGTTGCCTGTTCACTCTGATGGTAGTTTCTTTTGCTGTGCAGAAGCTCTTTAGTTTAATTAGATCCCATTTGTCAATTTTGGCTTTTGTTGCCATTGCTTTTGGTGTTTTAGACATGAAGTCTTAAAAGTTTTAGTTGTATCCACCCTATTTCAGGTTATTTTGGTTGGTGTCTCATAGGTATAGGACATGTGAATGGTTCTTTTAATTTTTTTCTGGGGTTTTTTTTAGAGAAAACTTGGAAGATAAACTCCTTCTTGATATATATATGTATATTTTCTTTAGCAGCTTGTTATCACTGGAATCAAAGGGAAAATGATCTCGTTTTGTATTAGTTGTATTTGTATGTCAAAAAAGACACTTTGTTAAAAAAAATTAATGTGGATTGAAAGTACTATTTTTTAAGTAGAAGGCCGGGCATGGTGGCTCACACCTATAATCTCAGCACTTTAGGAGGCCAAGGCAGGTGGATTGCTTGAGTCCAGGAGTTTGAGACCAGCCTGGGCAACATGACAAAATCCCGTCTCTACTGAAAACACAAAAATTGGCATGGTGTTGCACATCTGTAGTTCCAGCTACTTGGGAGGCTAAGATGGGAGAACCACTTGGGCCTGGGAGGTAGGCAGTGAGCCGAGATTGCACCACTGCATTCCAGCCTGGGTGACAGAGTGAGACTCCATTTCGAAAAAGAAAAAGAAAAAAAAAAAAGGGTGGTTGAGTCTCTACTGAACATGTACAGACTTTTTTTCTTGTCCCTTTTTTCTTATCTCCTAAACAATACAGTATAACAACTATTTACAAAGCATTTAGATTCTATTAGATCTTAAAACTAATCTAGGAGATGATTTAAAGTATGTAGGAGGATTGCATGGGTTGTATGCAAAGGTTTTATGCAAATATGATACCATTTTATATCAGGAACCTGAGCATTCATGTATTTTAGTATCCACAGGGGTCCTAGAACCAATAACCCATGGATACTGAGGAACGAATGTAATGTATAATTATATGTATAAGAATTGCTAAGAGGAGTCATCTTAGCTGTTATCATTTGGCTACTTATTAATAATTTTATAAATCACAAGATTAGATTTTTCCAAGCTTAGCAAATAAACTTGATTTACACTAATCTGCTTTTGGGGATAAAGAATGATCTTTGGCAAGGTTTTAGACATGTGTACCAGGGACCTTCATAATTGACAATAATGGTGACATTTTTGTGGGTAATTAACACCGTAGACCACTATGATAGACTGCTCTAGACTTCATAGCTGCTGCTTATAACTTATTGATACTTTATCTTTTGCATTTTAAACTATGAAATATTTCAGACACCTCCCAAAACACAAAAATAATAGACACTTATATGAAGGGTCTACAGAAGGTTCATGGAAAATGAGTATTATGAAAAAACTGTGCATGGATTTCAAAATTGTTTTGCACCAAAATAAACTGACACTAACTTGTTATAACATGTCTGAACAGGATCTAGTTTGAGGCACTGAAAAGAATAAGGCATCAGTTTGAAAATAGCACCTAGCAGAGCAATATGAATTCTGCTAAAATTGATGCAAGACAAAACATCAAATTTATGGTGAAGCTTGAGTGGAAGAATAGTGAAATCACTGATGATTTAAGACAATCATAATGAAGATAATGCCCCAAAGAAGTCAGCAGTTTACAAACAGATAACTCATTTCAAGAAGGGATGAGAATGTTGAAGATGAAGGTCACAGCAGCAGACCATCTACATCAAGTTATGAAGGGGATTTAATGGCAGAAACAATAGCCAATGCCATAGACATCTCAATTGGTTCAGCTTACACAATTATGACTGAAAAATTAAAGGGTGAGCAAACTTTCCACTTGATGGATGCCAAAACCATTGCACTTAGATCAGTTGCAAACAAGAGAAGAGCTTTCAATAGAAATTTTAAATTAGTGGGATCAAGATCCTGAAGCATTCCTTCAAAGAGTTAGAACAGGAAATGAAACATAGCTTTCATGTCAATCCTGAGGACAAGGCACAATCAAAGCAATGGCTACCAGGAGGAGGAAGTGCTCCAGCCAAAGTAAAAGCAGATCAGTCAGAGCAAAGGCCATGGCAAAAGTGTTTTTGGATGCTCAAGGAATTTTGCTTGTTTATTTTCTGGAGGGCAAAAAATGATAACATCTACTTATTATGAGAGTGTTTTGAGAAAGTTAGCCAAAGCTTTAGCAGAAAAATGCCCAGGAAAGCTTTACCAGAGAGTCCTTCTCCAACATGACAATGCTCCTGCTCATTCCTTTCATCAAACAAGGGCAATTTTATGAGAGTTTTAATAGGAAGTCATTAGGCGTCCACCCTACAGTCCTTATTTGGGTCTTTCTGTCTTCTTTTTGTTTCCTAATCTTAAAGTTGTAAAAGGCACCTATTTTTCTTCAGTTAATAATGTAAGAAAGACTGCATTGACATGGTTAAATTCCCAGGACCCTCGGTTCTTTAGGGAGGAACTAAATGGCTGATAACATCACTTACAAAAGTGTCTTGACCTCGATGGAGCTTATACTGAAAATAAGTGGTATTTTTTAAAGGTTTTAATCTTTTAATTTCTTTTTTTCCATGAACTTTCTGAAGTCCCCTCATATGCCCACCAACTGATGTTAAATGTATATTTTTTGCCACATTTTTAGATCCTTTTAAGAAGCATTAAAACATTTCTAAACATTGTTTAGGCTCTTTTGTATCCATAAACAATTACACCATTTGATTTTAAAAAAAAATTTAAATAGATGGTATAATGATATATAATCTAAATATACTTTGCAAATTATAATTTTTCACTCAATATGCATTTGAGACTTAATCATGTTCATATACATATAACTACCTCAGTCATTTTAATTGCTGAACAGTATTTCTCATACAGTTCAATGTGGTTTATTTATCTATTCCTCCATGAGTATGAATAGATAAATTATGTTTTATTTATGTATTCCTCCTACTCATAGACATTTAGATCCTTTCTTCAACCCTGCTTTCTACCTTTTTTTCTCCTTCCTTTTCTTTCCTTTTCTGTTATGCACAGCAGTGGACATCCTCTTGGATGTCTCCTTGACTACGTGTCTAAGAGTTACCCTAGGATGTTTCTTTAGAAGTGGAATTGCTCAGTTACAGAGCCTCTTAACTTAACTGTTCATCTTCACCTCACTGGCTACTGCGAAACTACTTTCCAGAGTGGTTGTTTCCATTCACTCTCCCACCAGCCATATATGGAAATGTTCACTTCTCCACATTGCTAATGCTTTATGTTATCAGACATTAATTTCTGCCCATCTGATAGGTGTGCCATGTTATTTTATTGTCATTTTAATTTTCATTTCCCTGAGTTTTATTGAAGTGGAACATTTAAAAAATGTAATTATTAGACACTGATTTTCTCCATGAATCTTGTTTATATCCTTTGCACATTTACCACCTGGCTCATTGCCTTCTTCTTATCAACTAAAAGGATAACTGTATATTCTAGATATTAATCTTTTATCATTTGTTGGCTGCCAATAACTTCATTAAATCTGTAGGTTGATTTTTTCAGGCTGCTTATGATTATTGTATGTATTTATTATGATAAAACACATAACATTAAATTTATCATCTTAACAATTTAAAATTTTTTAATATTTGTGGTTATATAGTAGGTATATATATTTCTGGGGTACATGAGATGTTTTGATACAGGCATGCAACGCGTAATAATCACATCATGGAAAATGGAGTATCCATCACATCAAGCATTTATCCTTTGTGTTACAAACCATCCAATTATACTCTTTTATTTATTTTTAAATGTACAGTTAAATTATTTTGACTATAATCACATTGCTGTGCTATCAAATACTAGGTATTATTCATTCTGTCAAACTATTTTTTCATACCCATTTAACCATTTTTAAGTTTACAGTTCAGTAGTGTTAAGTAGAGTCACACTGTTATGAAATGGATCTCTAGAACTTTTTCTAGACATTTTAATTTTTGAGAAAGTCAAATTAATATGTAGTTTTTCTTTTTTTTAAATTTTATTATTATACTTTAAGTTTTAGGGTACATGTGCACAGCGTGCAGGTTTGTTACATATGTATACATGTGCCATGTTGGTGTGCTGCACCCATTAACTCGTCATTTAGCATTAGGTATATCTCCTAATGCTATCCCTCCCCCCTCCCCCCACCCCACAACAGTCCCCGGTGTGTGATGTTCCCCTTCCTGTGTCCATGTGTTCTCATGGTTCAATTCCCACCCATGAGTGAGAACATGCGGTGTGTGTTTTTTTGTCCTTGTGATAGTTTGCTGAGAATGATGGTTTCCAGTTTCATCCATGTCCCTACAAAGGACATGAACTCATCATTTTTTTTGGCTGCATAGTATTTCATGGTGTATATGTGCCACATATTTTTAATCCAGTCTATCATTGCTGGACATTTGGGTTGGTTCCAAGTCTTTGCTATTGTGAACAGTGCCGCAATAAATATACGTGTGCAGGTGTCTTTATAGCAGCATGATTTATAATCCTTTGGGTATATACCCAGTAATGGGATGGCTGGGTCAAATGGTATTTCTAGTTCCAGATCCCTGAGGAATCGCCACACTGACTTCCATAATGGTGGAACTAGTTGACAGTCCCACCAACAGTGTTAAAGTGTTCCTATTTCTCCACATCCTCTCCAGCACTTGTTGTTCCCTGACTTTTTAATGATCGCCATTCTAACTGGTGTGAGATGGTATCTCATTGTGGTTTTGATTTGCATTTCTCTGATGGCCAGTGATGTTGAGCATTTTTTCATGTGTTTTTTGGCTGCATAAATGTCTTCTTTTGAGAAGTGTCTGTTCATATCCTTTGCCCACTTTTTGATGGGGTTGTTTGTTTTTTTCTTGTAAATTTGTTTGAGTTCATTGTAGATTCTGGATATTAGCCCTTTGTCAGATGAGTAGGTTGCAAAAATTTTCTCCCATTTTGTAGGTTGCCTGTTCACTCTGATGGTAGTTTCTTTTGCTGTGCAGAAGCTCTTTAGTTTTATTAGATCCCATTTGTCAATTTTGGCTTTTGTTGCCATTGCTTTTGGTGTTTTAGACATGAAGTCCTTGCCCATGCCTATGTCCTGAATGGTATTGCCTAGGTTTTCTAGGGTTTTTATGGTTTTAGGTCTAACATGTAAGTCTTTAATCCATCTTGAATTAATTTTTGTGTAAGGTGTAAGGAAGGGATCCAGTTTCAGCTTTCTACATATGGCTAGCCAGTTTTCCCAGCACCATTTATTAAATAGGGAATCCTTTCCCCATTGCTTGTTTTTCTCAGGTTTGTCAAAGATCAGATAGTTGTAGATATGTGGCATTATTTCTGAGGGCTCTGTTCCATTCCATTGGTCTATATCTCTGTTTTGGTACCAGTACCATGCTGTTTTGGTTACTGTAGCCTTGTAGTATAGTTTGAAGTCAGGTAGCGTGATGCCTCCAGCTTTGTTCTTTTGACTTAGGATTGACTTGGCAATGCGGGCTCTTTTTTGGTTCCATATGAACTTTAAAGTAGATTTTTCCAATTCTGTGAAAAAAGTCATTGGTAGCTTGATGAGGATGGCATTGAATCTATAAATTACCTTGGGCAGTATGGCCATTTTCATGATATTGATTCTTCCTACCCATGAGCATGGAATGTTCTTCCATTTGTTTGTATCCTCTTTTATTTCCTTGAGCAGTGGTTTGTAGTTCTCCTTGAAGAGGTCCTTCACATCCCTTGTAAGTTGGATTCCTAGGTATTTTATTCTCTTTGAAGCAATTGTGAATGGGAGTTCACTCATGATTTGGCTTTCTGTTTGTCTGTTATTAGTGTATAAGAATGCTTGTGATTTTTGCACTTTGATTTTATATGCTGAGCCTTTGCTGAAGTTGTTTATCAGCTTAAGGAGATTTGGGGCTGAGATGATGGGGTTTTCTAGATATACAATCATGTCATCTGCAAACAGGGACAATTTGACTTCCTCATTTCCTAATTGAATGCCCTTTATTTCCTTCTCCTGCCTGATTGCCCTGGCCAGAACTTCCAACACTATGTTGAATAGGAGTGGTGAGAGAGGGCATCCCTGTCTTGTGCCAGTTTTCAAAGGGAACACTTCCAGTTTTTGTCCATTCAGTATGATATTGGCTGTGGGTTTGTCATAGATAGCTCTTATTATTTTGAGATATGTCCCATCAATACCTAATTTATTGAGAGTTTTTAGCATGAAGCATTGTTGAATTTTGTCAAAGGCCTTTTCTGCATCTATTGAGATAATCATGTGGTTTTTGTCTTTGGCTCTGTTTATATGCTGGATGATGTTTATTGATTTTCGTATGTTGAACCAGCCTTGCATCCCAGGGATGAAGCCCACTTGATCATGGTGAATAAGCTTTTTGATGTGCTGCTGGATTCGGTTTGCCAGTATTTTATTAAGGATTTTTACATCAATGTTCATCAAGGATATTGGTCTAAAATTCTCTTTTTTTGTTGTGTCTGTACCAGGCTTTGGTATCAGGATGATGCTGGCCTCATAAAATGAGTTAGGGAGGATTCCCCCTTTTTCTTTTGATTGGAATAGTTTCAGAAGGAACAGTACCAGCTCCTCCTTGTACCTCCGGTAGAATTCGGCTGTGAATCCATCTGGTCCTGGACATTTTTGGTTGGTAAGCTATTAATTATTGCCTCAATTTCAGATCCTGTTATTGGTCTATTCAGAGATTCAACTTCTTCCTGGTTTAGTCTTGGGAGGGTGTATGTGTCGAGGAATTTATCCATTTCTTCTAGATTTTCTAGTTTATTTGCATAGAGGTGTTTATAGTATTCTCTGATGGTAGTTTGTATTTCTGTGGGATCGGTGGTGATATCCCCTTTATCATTTTTTATTGCGTCTATTTGATTCTTCTCTCTTTTCTTCTTTGTTAGTCTTGCTAGCAGTCTATCAATTTTGTTGATCTTTTCAAAAAACCAGGTCCTGGATTCCTTGATTTTTTGAAGGGTTTTTTGTGTCTCTATTTCCTTCATTTCTGCTCTGATCTTAGTTATTTCTTGCCTTCTGCTAGGTTTTGAATGTGTTTGCTCTTGCTTCTTCAGTTCTTTTAATTGTGATGTTAGGGTGTCCGTATTAGATCTTTCCTGCTTTCTCTTGTGGGCATTTAGTGCTATAAATTTCCCTCTACACATTGCTTTGAATGTGTTCCAGAGATTCTGGTATGTTGTGTCTTTGTTCTCATTGGTTTCAAAGAACATCTTTATTTCTGCCTTCATTTCGTTATGTACCCAGTAGTCATTCAGGAGCAGGTTGTTCAATTTCCATGTAGTTCTGCAGTTTTGAGTGAGTTTCTTAATCCTGAGTTCTAGTTTGATTGCACTGTGATCTGAGAGAGTTTGTTATAATTTCTGTTCTTTTACACTTGCTGAGGAGTGCTTTACTTCCAACTATGTGGTCAGTTTTGGAATAGGTGTGGTGTGGTGCTGAAAGGAATGTATATTCTGTTGATTTGGGGTGGAGAGTTCTGTAGATGTCTATTAGGTCTGCTTGGTGCAGAGCTGAGTTCAATTCCTGGATATCCTTGTTAACTTTCTGTCTCATTGATCTGTTTAATGTTGACAGTGGGGGGTTAAAGTCTCCTATTATTATTGTGTGGGAGTCGAAGTCTCTTTGTAGGTCACTAAGGACTTGCTTTATGAATCTGGGTGCTCCTGTATTGGGTGCATATATATTTAGGATAGTTAGCTCTTCTTGTTGAATTGATCCCTTTACCATTATGTAATGGCCTTCTTTGTCTCTTTTGATCTTTGTTGGTTTAAAGTCTGTTTTATCCAAGACTAGGATTGCAACCCCTGCCTTTTTTTTGTTTTCCATTTGCTTGGTAGATCTTCCTCCATCCCTTTATTTTGAGCCTGTGTGTGTCTCTGCACGTGAGATGGGTTTCCTGAATACAGCACACTGATGGGTCTTGACTCTTTATCCAATTTGCCAGTCTGTGTCTTTTAATTGGAGCATTTAGTCCATTTACATTTAAGGTTAATATTGTTATGTGTGAATTTGATCCCATCATTATGGTGTTAGCTGGTTATTTTGCTCATTATTTGATGCAGTTTCTTCCTAGCCTTGATGGTCTTTACAATTTGGCATGTTTTTGCAGTGGCTGGTACCGGTTGTTCCTTTCCATGTTTAGTGCTTCCTTCAGGAGCTCTTTTAGGGCAGGCCTGGTGGTGACAAAATCTCTCAGCATTTGCTTGTCTGTAACGTGTTTTATTTCTCCTTCACTTATGAAGCTTAGTTTGGCTGGATATGAAATTCGGGTTTGAAAATTCTTTTCTTTAAGAATGTTGAATATTGGCCCCCACTCTCTTCTGGCTTGTAGGGTTTCTGCCGAGAGATCCGCTGTTAGTCTGATGGGCTTCCCTTTGAGGGTAACCCGACCTTTCTCTCTTGCTGCCCTTAACATTTTTTCCTTCAACTTTGGTGAATCTGACAATTACGTGTCTTGGAGTTGCTCTTCTCGAGGAGTATCTTTGTGGCGTTCTCTGTATTTCCTGAATCTGAATGTTGGCCTGCCTTGCTAGATTGGGGAAATTCTCCTGGATAATATCCTGCAGAGTGTTTTCCAACTTGGTTCCATTCTCCCCGTCACTTTCAGGTACACCAGTCAGACGTAGATTTGGTCTTTTCACATAGTCCCATATTTCTTGGAGGCTTTGTTCGTTTCTTTTTATTCTTTTTTCTCTAAACTTCTCTTCTCGCTTCATTTCATTCATTTTGTCTTCCATGGCTGATACCCTTTCTTCCAGTTGATCACATCAGCTACTGAGGCTTGTGCATTCGTCGCGTAGTTCTTGTGCCATGGTTTTCAGCTCCATCAGGTCGTTTAAGGACTTCTCTGCATTGGTTATTCTAGTTAGCCATTCGTCTAATTTTTTTTCAAGGTTTTTAACTTCTTTGCCATTGGTTCGAACTTCCTCCTTCAGCTTGGAGTAGTTTGATCTTCTGAAGCCTTCTTCTCTCAACTCGTCAAGGTCATTCTCCATCCAGCTTTGTTCTGTTGCTGTTGAGGAGCTGCGTTCCTTTGGAGGAGGAGAGGCGCTCTGATTTTTAGAGTTTCTGGTTTTTCTGCTCTGTTTTTTCCCCATGTTTGTGGCTTTATCTACCTTTGGTCTTTGATGATGGTGACGTACAGATGGGGTTTTGGTGTGGATGTCCTTTCTGTTTGTTAGTTTTCCTTCTAACAGTCAGGGCCCTCAGCTGCCCGTCTGTTGGAGTTTGCTGGAGGTCCGCTCCAGACCCTGTTTGCCTGGGTATCAGCAGCGGTGGCTGCAGAACAGCAGATATTGGTGAACCGCAAACGCTGTTGCCTGATCGTTCCTCTGGAGGTTTTGTCTCAGAGGAGTACCCGGCCATGTGAGGTGTCAGTCCGCCCCTACTGGGGGGTGCCTTCCAGTTAGGCTACTCTGGGGTCAGGGACCCACTTGAGGAGGCAGTCTGCCCGTTCTCAGATCTCAAGCTGCGTGCTGGGAGAACCACTACTCTCTGCAAAGCTGTCAGACAGAGACATTTAAGTCTGCAGAGGTTACTGCTGCCTTTTGTTTGTCTGTGTCCTGCCCCCAGAGGTGGAGCCTACAGAGGCAGGCAGGCCTCCTTGAGCTGTGGTGAGCTCCACCCAGTTGGAGCTTCCTGGCCCCTTTGTTTACCTACTCAAGCCTCGGCAATGGCGGGCGCCCATCCCCCAGCCTCGCTGCCACCTTGCAGTTTGATCTCAGACTGCTGTGCTAGCAATGAGGGAGGCTCCGTGGGCGTAGGACCCTCCGAGCCAGGTGCAGGATATAATCTCCTGGTGTGCTATTTGCTAAGCCCGTTGGAAAAGCACAGTATTAGGGTGGGAGTGACCCGATTTTCCAGGTGCCGTCTGTCACCCCTTTCTTTGACTAGTAAAGGGAATTCCCTGACCTCTTGCACTTCCCGGGTGAGGCGATGCCTTGCCCTGCTTCGGCTCATACACAGTGCGCTGCACCCACTGTCCAGCACTCCCCAGTGAGATGAACCCAGTATCTCAGTTGGAAATGCAGAAATCACCCGTCTTCTGTGTCGCTCACACTGGGAGCTGTAGACTGGAGCTGTTCCTATTCGGCCATCTTCCAAAGTCCCAATATGTAGTTTTTCTTTATTGTTTGTGATCTTCATCCTTTAAGAAACCCTTCCATATCTGGAGGTCACAAAGATATTTGCCCATAATTTTTTTACATATTTTCTTTCTTTCTTTTTTTTTTCATCTAGCTCTTTAATCCATCTGGACTTCATTTTTGCATATGGTGTGAGATAGGGAACTGATTTTATCTTTTGCCATATGGGTAGTCATTTGTCTCAACATCATTTATTGAAGAGTCCATTGTTTTTCTCACTTGTTTGTAGGGTTACCACTTTCATATACCAAATGTAACATACATGTAGTCTACCTTATCATTGTGTTCCTGATGACTTCCAACTGCCATTATTTTAGCTCTCTTCCTGATGACTTTTACAGAACCACACAGGCTAAAAGTGCTGGGATTCAGCATCCCGTGGGAGCAGCTCATAGCAAAAGCCAAAGAAGGGTTGGCTCATGAAATCACAGCTCCCGCCTCCTCAGGTGGGGTAATTCTAAGACAAAATTTAGACCTTTTCCCACAGTTTTCCCATGGGAAATAGTTCCATAGCCCATTGTTGTAGCTGGCTCAGCTATTTCACCCTTTACAGGCTACTCCCTCCCTGTCTCACTTCCCTACACCTCCCAAATAATGTCTATTCTGTTCCATTGTTCTATTTGTCTGCCTTTGAGGCACTCAGCAATTTTTTTTTAATGTCCCCAGGCTGGAGTGTAGTGGTGTAGTCATAGCTCACTGCCACCTCAAACTCCCAAGCTCAAGCAATCCTCCTGTCTCAGCCTCCCAAATAGCTGAGACTACTGGCACATGCTACCATGCCTGGCTAATTTTTAAATTTTTTGTAGAAGTGGGGTCTCATTCTGTTGCCCAGGCTGCTCTCAAACTCCCGACGTTAAACAATCTTCCCACCTCAGTCTCTCAAAGTGCTGGGATTACATGCATGAGCCACCATGCCTGGCCTGAGGCATTCAGCTTTTTAAAGTCATTGAAGTCATTCAGCTTTCTAAAGTGTCACATAGCAGGTTGACATAAGAACAGACCTCCAAAACCCTCCAGTGATCCTGAACGTTGTCTCCTGCTGTGTGCTGTCACATCTTAGCCTTAGCATTCTGCCCTTGTTTTGATTCTCCTGGCTCCTGCCCCTAGATTCATGTCACCTGGTCCTTTACCCTCACACTCAGCACAGCATCATTTTCCTCCTGTGACTTTAGACCTGCTTCACTTGAGATAATGTGGATTTTCCTTCATGCTGTGGTCTTTAGCTCCTTGCTTAACTATCACACAAGCAGGTCCATCATGAAAAAAATGAAACAAAACTGGAGAAGGAAAAGAGTGCAGACAATCGGTTGTTATTTACATGGTGCCCCTTAGGGTCCTTCTTGGGTTTTATTGCACCTTGCAGAAAAAGTTGTGCTTCTACTGTAGCAAACTGAGGTACTATGCATTGATTTCACAGTCTACTTAGTTGATTTCATAATTAGTTAATTTCATGTATTTTTCTACTTTTCTATCAGTCTGAAAAGTTATATGTTCCTTTCATCTTCCACTCCTTTACCTCACTGAAACAATATGGCCTAGAACTTTCTGATCAGTCATTCTTCAGATCAGAGCATGGGGGAGCAATGTGGGTGATAAACACTCGGTAGTCGCTCAGGTAATTATCTCTAGTTCCTTTGGAGGGATTAAAAATTCATTTCAGAGCTTCCTGTATATTTCTTATAATCATATTGAATGAATATAATTCTTATGACAGTTGTAAGTGTAATCATTGTCAACTAATACTTTTATTGTCTACTTAAAGTCTTGAGTTTTTTTTTAATTGCTATGATAATTATTATATGTAATGTCTGGATCCTACAGACCCTACCTCAACAATTATAATTAAAAATGCTAAAGTCTCGAGTAAGCAAAACCAGGAAAATAGCCTTCACGTAGATTTCGTATCTTAGTACTTTGTATTTCTGTCTGTCTGAGAGAACTACACATTACTAAAATAGAGGTAAAAAATATAAAAAAAGAAGTGACCATACAATTACAGAAGGTGGTATTAATATCAGGGAGGAGGCCTGATACAGTGAAGGCCAGAAAAATTAAAGGTCAAGAAGAACCATCTAATATATCATTTGGTCGAGTTTTGAGCATAATGGAAATGGCTTATCCTTTAAGAACTCTGATTCTGTCCGATTTTTGCTTTCAGTTGTTTCTGAGCTCTACCATGTGCTCTTCCTCTGCCCTGAGTGTAGCTTAGTTAGGCTACAGAGAGTGTAGAATAAGCTGTGACTGCAAACTATGTGGTAAATCTTTGACAGAATCAGTCTTAAGCTTTTCTGTTAACTGTTTTTTATAGGTGGTTATGTTGTTGTTAATCTGCAATAAACATTATTCTTGACATAGACATATGGGTTTTGCTTATTTTATATATGTGTGCAAAGTTAACTTCAGTTTCATCCTCCCTCCTTTCCTCCCTCCCTTCCCCCTCCCCTCCCTCCCTCCCTTCCTCCCTCCCTCCCTTCCTCCCTCCCTTCCTACCTTCGTCCTTCCTTCCTTCCTTCCTTCCTCTCTTCCTTCCTTCTCCCATTCTTCTTATTTTTTCTCTTCTGCACATTTTGCTGGAGAATCTGTTCATGTACCCTGCTTTCCCACAGTTGCTTTCAGACTTTTTTTTTTTTGAGACAGCGTCTCTCTCTTTCTCTCTCTGTTACCCAGACTCAAGTGCAGTGATACTGTCTCAGCTCACTACAGCCTCAACCTCCTAAGCTCAAGTGATCCTCCTACTTCAGCCTCCCAAGTAGCTGAGACTACATGCACATACCACCACACCTGGCTAATTTTTAAATTTTTTGTAGAGATGAGGTCTCACTATACTGCCTCAGCTGGTCTCGAACTCCTGGGCTCAAGGGATCCTCCTGCCTCTGCCTCACAGTTGTGAGCCACTGTGCCTGGCCATTTTCAGACTTTAGAAAATGATTTTCATTTACTTTTTCCTGGGAAGGCTCTTGGGTACAATGTTATGTGTTATTTAAATCTAAACAGCAAACTGGCCAGCATTGCCCCTTAGAGTTTCCTCTATGGGGAGGTCATGGATCCCCTACTTGAACTCCTCTGTAGCAGGCACAGCAGCGAGTGCCTAAGGGTGCAGAGCTGGGGGCCCCATGGCTTTCCTAGCTCCCTTTCTTGTTCCTAGTGTTTTAAATTACACTTTTATTCCAAGGAAGGGCCCTGATTCCAACCACATGAAGTAACTATATTGGAAAGCCCTGTGGACTCCAAAGCACTGTAATTAAAGAGCAAGGGATTCCTTTTCAGATAATTGAAAGGTGGTGGCAGAGACCCAGGAGTTAAATACTTTTAGGCCATGTTTGCATGTAGATTTTCCTCTTTAAACCTGTGCTTTTTGCCTGTGAACACTATTTTCCTGGACATCCAACAGCAATTTTTGTAAGAGTTTGAAACAGTAGGTTTGCCTTCACCTGAGCACCTCTGCAGGCCATTGACAGATCCCATGGTGCCACAAGCAGTATCTCTGCAACTTTCTGAGCAAGTCTCATCTGCCTCCTGGGGTTCCACATGGCCATCAGGGGCCATCACTGTTAAATGCAAAACTCATGACTTTCTTGCTATCTTCTCCCTGAGGATGAGGGAATAACTTCTCTTCTTTGTGCTCGCACACCACCCTGTTCCTGCCTCTATAAATAGCACTGGCCACACTGAATTAGAATTATCCATTTGTCTCCCATTTCCTCAGGCCATCTGGACATACTCAGAGTTACCCGTGGCACCACTCTCCAGGGAGCTCCAGCTTCTCTAAGCCCTTTTTTATCTTCCATTTATTCTGGGTTCTGATTTTGCCTTGCCTCTGCAGTCTTAAAGATGTTCTTGCTGTACAGTTCTTGACTTTCTGCCTTCTTATCAGCCCAAAGTGACAATTCTGTGGCCTCTGGTACCTACCCAGTGCCTGGCATAGAGTAGGCCTGCAATAAGTATGACTGGCCAAATGAGAGTTCTACTATTATCTTTATCATTATTTTCTTTCTCTTTTTTCCTCCAGTTATTACCAATGGGGTGATTTGGTGAGGGCCAGACTTTCCTTCCAAATTAATAAGTGCAACTCTTCTAAGAATCAGGTGGCAAGAACTTACAGTTCCTACGCAGTAGTCAATATATTCTTTCACTTGTGCAGCCCCTGCTTATAGCTGATTCCTATGAAATGGAATTTCTCAACAGTTGAATTGAAGGAAATTTGGATAACACCACCTAAGGTCACTCCCATAACTATCCCTCCATGCCAATCTCATGGCTAGATGGGAAGCCTTCAGGAATATGTTGGGCAAGTAGGTTCATGTCAACCACAAAAATCTTCAAAAGGTTCTTCCCCTGAACTATGTATTGCTAAGTCCTCAAATCTAGTAGATTTGGCTTTGCTTCACCTGTAAAACACACAGATGCAGGAGATAGAAGGATACCCAACCACTCTTTGGATTTACTGAATCTCAGAAATAGATGAAATGGCCCTAGAAGGCATGCTAAGAACCTGTAAGTTTATTGTAGCCAAATCTTGGTACAAACATGTTTCAGTATCACCATGGCAATATCTCCTCAATGAAATGGGCCCAATAGTCCCATAGACAGTTGTTTTGGGATAAACATAGAAACACCCTTCTGCTGTTAAAGCTTGAAACTTGTATCTGTTTTATGAGTTCCTTCCTCAGGAAAGGACCTTCGGGAAGTATCAAAGAACTGAAACTCAGCAGATCACTGCACCAAACACCTCCTTGCCCCACCCTAGTTCCTGTTTTCTTACACATTGTTACATTTCCTCGGTGCTCTATAAACCCCTAGTTTTGGTAAGTCAAGGAGATGGATTTGAGACTGAGCTCCCATCTCCCTGGCTGCAGCACCTAGTTAATACTTCTTCCTTGGCAATACTTGGCATCTCAGTGATTGGCTTTCTGTGCAGCAAGAATCAGGGCCTAGACCAAACCTCTGGAGTTTTGGTAACATCAACAGTACAATAATAAATGGAAATAAATAAAATAAATAAAAACATTGTATATAGTAGACCAAATGGTCATAGTTACTGTGAGAATGGGAGAGCAGAAAAGGCAGTTGAAGGAGGAAGCAAAACAAGGGGTCAAAGAGAGGCAGAGTCAATTATATTAAAATCCAGTTAATTTTAATATAATATATAATTTAATATGATAAATACATAAAATATATAAAAATCAGGACTTGGAATTTGAGTGTTACAGATTTAGAACCTATTTGAGGTCCACTCCAGTTGACTATTTTATGCATAGTAAATTGAATTTTGATTTCTAAACTTTAGTCTCCTGACTTGCTAAAGTGCTCAGGCCTTACATGGTACAAAGGGCTTAAAAAATGAGGCTTAACTGATTTGGTGTCCAAAGTCCCAGCTTGTTTGGTGGACCATTGGAATATTGCTGGGAGAACAATAACAATTTTGGGAGACCAACACAAGACCTTGTGTCACAGTGAAGCTTATGAACCTTGACATCACTTAAAGGCAAGTGTGTGGTTTTTTTTTTCTAGGATAGTTCCCCAAATTAGGAACATCTCTTGTGGACCCTTGTTTGAGAATAAACACTAGTGCTCTAAGTCATTGTTTCCCTTCAGGAGTACTTGTGCAGATAAATAGGTCACCCCAATAGCTGAGTGATCCCACAACCATTACCATCTTTGGTTATAAAACGATCTCCACATTTAGATTTTGAGCTCCTGGAGGGGAGGTCTCCAATATTCTTTACTTTCTTTAATTTCTCAGCATCTTGCACATTGCATGTGTACGGTTAGGTGGAAGCTTCACGAGTGTTTATTAAATGATTGATCAGAAGAAACAGGGAGAGTAACTTCATGTAACTGGAGTGGCTTATTGAAAAGTTTGTCACCAATCCCTGTTCCTGTGTAGTAAACTTGTAACACATCTATGGCATTCCATCTTAAATTGTGGCTCCTACTGAATAGTACGCACATCTCAAGTAGACTTGGAGGCTCTGCTCACATGGCCTCTGCACCCCCTCTCATAGCTTGTTTTCTGATGTACCAAGGAGATTCTTGTATCTTTGAAGACTGCTAGCTCTAAGGCAGTTTCTTGTTTTTTCTCATGAAGGCGGTGAGGAATAGCCTTATTTTGAATCACTGTGACCCCTTGTGGGCATGTGTGGGGACTGCACCCCAACCTCTGTTCTAAGTAGTAGGCCCCATGCCTTGCTTGGGGCCACCTTGGCTCACTCTCCACTGACAATCTCAGTATAGTCTCCTCTCCTCCTACCGCCCCCCGCCCCCCGCCTCACCCACTGAAGACTGAGTGACCTGGAATAGGAGTATTCTAAACTGGAAGGCTTAATTCAGTGTGACAAGGCAACCCTATTAATTTGCCTCTGCCTTGAGTTGGGATTTCAAATCTCTCCCTGTGTCTACAGGATTGAACTGGCATGAAGTGCATTAGCTTCCCACTAGAGTTGGTGCAATTCTGCTTCAACTCCCTCTCCATCTCCCTTGGTGACTTCTTTACACCAGGAGGCAACCTGCCTTTATGGTTCTCCTTCAGCAAACACACACTTTTCTCCCCCAGAGACAGGTTTCCATGGAAACCAATCCAAGGGGAAACATTCTGGAGAGGTAGAGTTTGTGGTGTAAGGTATGGTGAAAACCACAAGAGGGGTGTGTGGAGAAGGCAGTTATGTCAGGATTATGTTAGAAATGTGAACAAAAATGTACTGAGGCAGTAGGAAAGCACATTAAACTTTAAAAGTGTTTTTAAATGTTGCTATTCAATGGGAGTGACATATCCTAGTGAAATCAGAAGGCCGTAGAGTGCCCACTGTGTATGAGGCATGATGCAAAGTGGAGGGAAGGACCCAGGTGGCAGATGTGGCCTCGCCTCAGGGAGTTTGCAGCCTCTTTGGAGAGATGAGATGGGCACACCAGACAATAGTACATCAAAGCAAAGAATGAATGGGACCCACACGACCAGAGAGGATGCAGCCATGACTCCTGCTTTAGGCCAATCATCTTACCTTTAGAAACCAATTTTTTTTTTATTTGACTGCTCTATTATATTAAAACAAATAGGCTGGGTGTGGTGGCTCATGTCTGTAGCCCAGCATTTTGGGAGGCTGAGATGGGAGGATCGCTTGAGGCCAGGAGTTTGAGAGCAGCCTGGGCAAGATGCGAAACCCCATCTCTAAAAATTTGTTTTAAAAAAATTAGCTGTGCATGGTGGAACGCACCTGTGGTTCTAGCTACTCAGGAGGCTGAGGTGGGAGTTCGAGACTGCAGTGAGCTATGATCGCACCATTACACTCCAGCCTGGGTGACAACGTGAGACTTGATCTCTAAAAAAAGTGAACTAATAAATAAAATAAGCAGTTAGAAGAACATAATCTATACCATGGTGAATTTAAGGAAACTCAATCTGTAGTCCCGAGTCTCAACCCCAATCAAAGGAAGATTTTAAAATATAGGAGTTAGTAAGGCATGCTTTTATAGTTTTGGAGATGAACAAGAAGTTAGATGAGTGGGACAGAGAGGAAACAATGGTTTACAACCTTGGCTATGCATGCAAATCACCAAGGGAGTTTTAAATACTACTGCTGCCTCCCTATCTTGGAGATTCTGACTAGCTTGGTTTGAGTCCAGAGAGCATGGACATTGGGATTCTTAAAATTTTCCCAAATGATTCTAGTGTGCAGCCACGTTTTAGAACCATTGGAAGATCCCATTCCTAGCACCTTCCTCCTCCAGCTACTGCAAAACAGGCACACATACACACACGCGCGCGCGCACACACACACACACACACACACAGTTCCTACTCTTATAATTTTTATCTTTGCAGAAAATTGATTAAATATAAACAGAATGGGACAGAGCTTTCAGTATACTCAAATTCAATAAGCAGATAATTATGTTTATATGCCAATGAGGGGGTGATATGGCCTGGAGGTGTACCACTCTAATGGATTGTGGGAAGACTTCAAATAGGTTTCCATAACTCTAATGTGCCTCTAATTGTGCTCTAATGTGCCTCTAATGTGATTGCAATAATGTGTCTCTGACCTTTGATATATTTCCTTCAGCCAGCTACAATTCTGACTTGGTGCCAGTGTTAGTGGTGTGATGTCTGTGCCAAGGGTCATGAAAATAGAATCTGGTTTTCAGTGTCTGTTACAACACATCACATGTCCCTAAGCCCGCTTTCTCTGTCTCAGTGTCTCTGTAACTGTCTTCTCTGTGCATCATCTTTCTACCTCTGCTTTTTCTTCTGAATTTCTGTGCAAAAATCAAGCACTTGGCAGAACAAGAATAACTTCTACTTTCTGACAAGGGTTAACTTGTTCCCATATAGAAATAATGTGCTTATTTTGTGTTTTCTGGTGGTAAAAATAGGAAAGGTGCTGCCTGATAAAACATCACCATGACATATAACATCCTTGTATTAGTCTTTTCTCATAGTGCTAATAAAGACGTACCTGAGACTAGATAATTTATGAAAAAAAAAAAAGAGGTTTAATTGACTTACAATTCAGCATGGCTGGGGAGGCCTCAGGAAATTTACAATCACAGTGGAAAGGAAAGCAAACATGTCCTTCTTCACATGGTGGCAGGAAGGAGAAGAATGAGAGCTGAGTCAAGGAGGAAGCCCCTTATAAAACTGTTAGATCATATGAAAACTTAACTATTATGAGAATAGCTTGTGGGAAACTGTCCCATTATTAAATTACTTCCCACTGAGTCCCTCCCATGACATGTGGGGATTATGGGAACTACAATTCAAGATAAGATTTGGGTGAGGACACAGACAAACCATATCATACTGCCCCTGGCCCCTCCCAAATCTTACTTCCTTTCTACATTTCAAAACATAATCATGCCTTCCCAACAGTCCCCCAAAGTCTTGACTCATTCCAGCATAAACTCAAAAGTCTAAGTCCAAAGTCTCATCTGAGACAAGGTGAGTCCATTTTGCCTATGAGCCTCTAAAATCAAAAGCAAGTTAGTTACTTCCTAGATACAATGGGGATACAGACATTGGGTAAATACATCCATTCTAAATGGAAGAAATTGGCTAAAACAAAAGGGGCTACAGGCCCCATGCAAGTCTGAAATCCAATAGGGCAGTCATTTAATCTTAAAGCTCCAAAATGATCTCCTTTGACTCCATGTCTCACATTCAGGTCATGCTGATGCAAGAGGTGGTCTCCCATGACCTTGGGATGCTCTGCCCCTGTGGCTTTGCAGGATACAGCCCCCTTTCTGACCGCTTTCATGGCTGGCATTGAGTGTCTGTGGCTTTTCCAGGCTCATGGGGCAAGTTGTCAGTGGATCTACCATTCCGGGGTCTGGAGGACGATGGCCCTCTTCTCATAGCTCTACTAGGCAGTGCCCCAGTGGGGACTCTGTTTGAGGACTTCAACCCCACATTTCCCTTCTGTACTGCCCTAGCAGAAGTTCTCCATGAGGGCTCCACCCCTGCAGCACACCTCTGCCTGGATATCCAGGCATTTCCATACATCCTCTGAAATCTTGGCAAAGGTTCTCAAACCTCAATTCTTGTCCTCTGTGCATCCATAGGACCAACACCATGTGGAAACTGCCAAGGCTCAGAGCTTGCACCCTTTGAAGCTGTGACCCAAACTGTACTGCCTTGGCCCCTTTTAGTTATGGCTGGAGTGGCTGGGATACAGGGCACCAAGTGCCTAGACTGCATGCAGCAGGGGGCCCTGGACCCAGCCCACGAAACCATTTTTTCCTCCAAGGCATCTGGGCCTGTGATGGGAGAGGCTGCCATAAAGGTTTCTGACATGCCTTAGAGACATTTCCCCCATTGTCTTGAAATTAACATTTGGCTTCTCATTACTTATGCAAATTTCTGCAGCCAGCTTGAATTTCTATCCAGAAAATGGGTTTTTCTTTTCTACTGCATAGTCAGGCTGTGAATTTTCCAAACTTTATGCTCTGTCACCTCTTGAATGCTTTGCTGCTTAGAAATTTCTTCTGCCAGATATCCTAAATCATCTCTTTCAAGTTCATTTTCACAGATCTCTAGAGCACGGGCAAAATGTCATTAGTCTTTTTGCAAAAGCATAACAAGAGTCACTTTTGCTCCAGTTCCCAACAAGTTTCTCATCTCTATCTGAGACCACGTCAGTCTGGACTTTATTGTTCATATCACTATCAGCATTTTGGTTAAAGCTATTCAACAAGTCTCTAGGAAGTTCCAGAATTTCCCAAATCTTCCTGTTTTCTGAGCCCTGCAAGTCTCTAGGAAGTTCCAAACTTTCCCATATTTTCCTGTCGTATTCTGAGCCCTCCAAACTGTTCCAACTTCTCCCTGTTACCCAGTTCCAAAGTCACTTCCACATTTTGGGGTATCTTTACATTATCCCCACTGCCCAGTACCCAGTACCAATTTACTGTATTAGTTTGTTCTCATGATGCTAATAAAGATATACCCATCTGGATAATTTATAAAGGGAAGAGGTTTAATTGACTCACAGTTCAGCATGGCTGAGGAGGCCTCAGAAAACTTACAATCATGGCAGAAGGAGAAGCAAACATGTCCCTTCCCACGGCAGCAGGAAGGAGAAGAATGAGAGTCAAGTGAAAGGGAAGCCCCTTATAAAACCATTAGATCTTGTGAGAACTTACTATCACAAGAATAGCATGGACGAAACCTCCCTCCACCATGATACGATTACGTCCCACCCGGTCTCTCCCACCACATGTGGGGATTACAGGAACTAACATTCAAGATGAGATTTGGGTGGGGACACAACCAAACCATGTCAATCCTACTGATTTTCTTTTGTTTGAGTGATAGTTTGTTGCAGTTGGAATTACTTATTTGGTATGACTTCAGGAGTATTAAGAAAGTCCTGTGCTATGATTTGGACATAGTGGCCCTGATATCTCATTTAAAATTTGATTTCCAGCATTGGAGGTGGGTATGATGGGAAGTGTTTGGATCCTAGGAAACTCTGGTGCTGTCTTTGCAATAATGAATGAGTTCTTGCTCTGTTAGTTCCCATGAGAATTCCCCCTGAGAGCTGGTTTTGAAAAGAGCCTGGCACCTCCTCCTCTTTCTTGCTTTCTCTCTCACCATGTGATCTCTGTACACACAGGCTCCCGTTCACCTTTTGCCATGAGTGGAAGCAGCCAGAGCCCCTCACTAGAAACAGACATGAGGTACCTTACAAATGTATAGGTAGTTTTAAATCTCTTTATTTCAGGAAAACAATGCTTGTTCTGTTTTCTTGCTTTAATTTGTTCTGCAGGAATATCTATTATTCATTAATTGCATTTTCTTCACCTATCTTTTGTATTTGTTACTTTCTGCCTAATCCAACTTATCTTTCTCTTCATTTTAAAATTTTAACTTTTTAGTGTTCTATTTGTCTTAAGGCATTATCTATTATGTTTATTTTCTTTTGTGTTCCTTCTAACTTAGTCTTCATTTCTGAAATGATTTGTCTATATTTCTAATTCTTTATTGAGTTTTGTCACCTTTCTGATATTTTCTATTTCAGATGCATATTTTCTTTTTATATATTTTATCTTTTTTTGATGTCTTTTTGCTCATTTTGAAATATTAAGGAATGTTTTCCTTCTGTCTTTCTGGGACTCAGACATTTTCTGAATAGTCTTATTCTGTTTCTTTATCTCTTTGACCTCAATCTTTTTTATTTATTATTTTTATGTGAAATTAGTGTTCCTCAACTTTTAAAATGAGAGGGTTTAAGAGAGCTCTTGCTAACTTTACAGACTTTCTTCTTCTAATGATTTTGTAGCGTGGCCAATAATATGGCAATTTGCTTTTTAATATTTCCTGGTTCAATTCCTGTGCCCCACGTTTATCTGTACTTCTTTTTCATTTGTGTCCATTGTCCTTGTCCTGTTCAATTTGGATCCTGTTTTTTGCCTTTTTTTCTATCACTTATGGTCAAATTCTGTAGATCCTGTTTCTCTTCAGTGTGAAACAGGACTGAAGGGAGCATTGGCTGTTTTGAGAACGACCATTTTATCTACTTCAGACCTTTCTTGGGGCCCCTTCAATTTATCTGTTGTTGGGCTGTGCTAATCCCTTCCAGTTTCATCTGCTCTTCTCTAAGTTGCCTGCGGAGCTTTTCAAGTGATCCACTGATGGATATTTTGGATTTCTTGGGTCCATCAGATGCCATGTTGCTACCTTCAACTTCCCTTGGTCCAGGTAATGATGCCACACAGAACTTGTAGCTGCCCGGGTTTGTTATGCACCTGTTTGGATTCTGGACTCTGTGGGACATCTTGCCAACCTAATTATAGTGTAAATATTGAACTTTAACTTTCTGCTTTGCCTTCCTACTTTCTTTTATTACTTTTATGGAGGAGATAGAAGAGGTTAAAAAATATGCTGCCACCATTTCTATCTACATTTCTTAAATGATGGATTCCCCTAGATTCCCCTATTTGTCATGACTTCTATTATATCAATTTGGTCTTGAGGTCTCTCTGTCAAAAGTTTCCTTTAGCCAAGATAGCTCCTCTCTAGGAGAGCCCTGACTGGGAGAAAAATTAGATTTGGGTGTGTCAGTCAGGTGAGACACAATGAGGAGACAAAACCAAAATACATAAAACAGAAGAAATTTATTACCCACAGGTCCAGAGATATTAGGAGTGCTGAGGGAAGAGGCAGGTGATGGAAAGTCCAGAGGCAGCGGGGAGCTCAACCAGCAGGTGAAGAGGGGGCACAGAGAGAGGGAGAGAGGACCAGTGGGACTAGGCCTTTATTAGGGTCTGTGGATGTGATTTCTTAGGCTTTTCTGTGGAGCTTGTGGATTGGCTGGTTTAAAGAAAATGTGTGCAAGCTGGGAAACTCATTTACATGACTTCATGACTCTGGTGTTGATGGTTAGTTTTTTTTGTTTGTTTTGTTTTTTTGAGACAGAGTCTCACCTGTTGCCCAGGCTGGACTGCAGTGGCACAATCTCAGCTCACTGCAAGCTCTGCCTCCTGGGTTCACATCATTCTCCTGTCTCAGCCTCCCTAGTAGCTGGGACTACAGGCGCCCACCACCACACCTGGCTAATTTTTTTTTTGTTTTGTATTTTTAGTAGAGATGGGGTTTCACCGTGTTAGCCAGGATGGTCTCGATCTCCTGACCTCGTGATCCACCAGCCTCAGCCTCCCAAAGTGCTGGGATTACAAGCATGAGCCACTGTGCCTGGCTGATGGTTAGTTTTTATCCTGTTCACCAGCTGTGGGATGTATTGGATTTAGGGTCAGTGGGATGAGGAACAAGCAGGCTTTATCACAAATACCACAAAAGGAGGGTAAGTTTTAACCAGGTCAAAGGTGACCAGGTACTACTGGGTTTCAAACAATTTATGTCAGGCCTAGAAATGGATGCTCAGGCATTGTATTACTCTATTCTCATGCTGCTCTAAGAAATACCCAAAACTGGCTAATTTATGAAGGAAAGAGGTTTAATTAACTCACAGTTCTGCAGGGCTGAGGAGGCCTCAGGAAACTTACAATCATTGTGGAAAGGGAAGCAAACATGTTCTTCTTCACATGGTAGCAGGAAAGTGAATTGCTGAGCAAAGCTGGAAAAGCCTCTTATAAAACCACCAGATCTTGTGAGAACTCACTCACTATCACAAGAACAGCATGAAGGTAACCACCTGCATGATTAAATTACCTCCCCCTGGGTTCCTCCTATGACATATGGGGATTATGGGAGCTACAATTCAAGATGAGATTTGGGTGAGGACACAGCCAAACCATATCATTATGCCCCCAGCCCCTCCCAGATCTCATGTCCTCACATTTCTAAACACAATCATGCCCTTCCAACAGTACCCAAAAGTCTTAACTCATTCCAGCATTAACTAAAATGTCCAAGCCTAAAGACTCATCTGAGACAAGGCAAGAGGTGAGCTCCAATGACTTTGGGCAGCTCTGTCCCTGTGGCTTTGCAGGGTACAGCCCCTCTCCTGGCTGGCTTCATGGGCTGGCATTGAGTATCTGTGGCTTTTCCAGGTGCATGGTGCAAACTGTTGGTGGATCTACCATTCTGGGGTGTGGAGGATGGTGGCCCTCTTCTCACAGCTCTACTAGGTGTGCCCCAGTAGGGACTCTGTGTGGAGGCTCCAACTGCACATTTCCCTTCTGCACTGCCCTAGCATAAATTCTTCATAAGGGCGGCAAACTTCTGCCTGGACATCAGGCATTTCCATACATCCTCTGAAATCTAGGTGGAGTTTCCCAAACCTCAGTTCTTGACTTCTGTGCACCTGCATGCTTAACACCATGAGGAAACTGCCAAGGCTTGGGGCTTGCACCCTCTGAAGCTACAGCCCAAGCTGTACCTTGGCCATGGCTGGGATGCACGGCATCAAGTCCCAGGATGGCACAAAGCAGCAAGGCCCTGGGGCCAGCCCACAAAACCATTTTTTTCCTACTAGGCCTCTGGGCCTGTGATGGGAGGGGCTGCCGCAAAGTTCTCTGACATGCCCTAGAGACATTTTCCCCATTGTCTTAGCCATTAACATTTGGCTTCTTGTTAGTTATGCAAATTTCTGCAGCCAGCTTGAATTTCTCCTCAGAACATGGGTTTTTCTTTTCTATCACATTGTCAGGCTACAAATTTTCTGAACTTTAATGCTCTGCTTCCCATTTAAACATAAGTTCCAATTCCAAAGCCTATTTTTGTGAATACATAAAACTGAATGATTTTAACAGCATCCAAGTCACTTCTTGAAATCTTTGCTGCTTAGAAACTTCTTCCAGTAGATACCCTAAATCATCTCGCTCAAGTTCAAAGTTCCACAGATCTCAATAGCAGGGGCAAAATGCCACCAGTCTCTTTGCTAAAACATAGCAAGAGTCACCTTTATTCCAGTTCCCAAGAAGTTCCTCATCTCTGTCTGAGACCACCTTAGCCTGCACTTCATTGTTCACATCACTATTAGCATTTTGATCAAAGCCATTCAACAAATCTCTAGGGAGTTCCAAACTTTCCCACATCTTCCTGTCTTCTGAACCCTCCAAGTCTTTAGGGAGTTTCAAACTTCCCCACATTTTCCTTTCTTCTGAGCCCTCCGAATGCTTCCAACCACTGCCTATTACCTAGTTCCAATCGTGCTTCCACATTTTCTGATATCTTTACAGCAGTGCCCTACTCTCTGTGGTACCAATTTACTGTATTAGTCTGTTCTCACACTGCTATGAAAAAATACCCAAGACTGGGTAATTTATAAATGAAAGAGGTTTAATTTACTCACAGTTCTGCAGGGCTAGGGAGGCTTCAGGAAACTTACAATCATGGCAGAAGGGGAAGGAAACACGTCCTTCTTCACATAGTGGCAGGAAGAAGTGCAGAGCCAAGGGGGGAAATGCCCCTTATACAACCATCAGATGTTATGAGAATTCACTCACTATAATGAGAACAGCATGAGGGTAGCCGCCACCATGATTAAATTACCTCCCACCAGGTCCCTCCCATGACATGTGAGGATTATGGGAACTACAATTCAAGATGAGATTTGGGTGGGGACACAACAAACCCATATCAGGCAGCAACTATGTTTAACAAATTGATGACATTATTCTGCTCAGGTATCTACATATCACAATGCTCAAAGGGTTTCTTTAACTGTAATTTCTATGCTGTCGTGAAAATGGTTTATTGAAACAGTATTTTGAAATGAGTACACATTTTACTAAGTTAGTTTATATGTGTGTATATAAATGTTTGTGTGTGTGTGTGACTAATTCAATAGGACTTTAATATGGATGTTTAAAAATTTTTTTTAAGTAGCAAGAATACTGAAAATATTGTTAAATAATATATGGTTATAAGATTCTCACAGCTGCTAATAATAATAATCATTATTTATTGCATACTTGCTAAGCACTTCACAAACAGTGCTTCATTTAACTGTCACACAGCCTCATGAAGCAGCCTGTTATGTGTTTTGTGTGATTGAGGGAGCCTCAGACACTGTAGACACTTGGCTGAGGTCACATAGCCATTGGATGATAAAACCAGAATGGGAGGTCAGGTGGCCCCGGAGGTAAGTCTACCCTCTGAATTGTGTGCTCTGCTGCCTTTCCTTCAGTAGTTTGTAACCCTGCTGCACATTTAAATCACTGGAAAACATTTAAAAAGTATTGATGCCAAATTGCATAATCCAGACAAATTGCATCAGAATCTCTAGGGTGGGGCCCAGGCATTTGTATAATTCCTAAGTCATTCCTAAGTAATTGTAATGTGCAGTAAAAGTTGAGAACCTCTAATTGTAATTATTAATTACAGTATAGCTAAGGAAATACACACACACACTCAAACACACACACACATGCATGCACGTGCACACACACACACATCCTAGCTCAGAATCTTTCACAAAAACAGTAACAGAGATGCCAAGCCCCAGAATTGGGGTGTATTCCATGGATGCCAAGGTCAAACACAAAGGTGGAAGATCACTCATTCAAAGACTGCAGTGGGCCGAGTCAAGAAAGATGATTTGAAATGAAAATCTTAGGAGAGACTGAATCAAAAGTTTGGCAAAGAGTCTTCCATTCAAAGACACAAGACAGAAGGAGATAATCTGGGGATGAAGTATCTGGGAATGGGGATCAGATTGTTTGAAAGGGGGATTTTTATAGAGATCTGGTGATATTGGATATGGTTTGAAAGGGAACCATAAATGCAGAGGTCACAAACTGTTGGCTCATAATAGATGTGTTTTGTTTGCCTCGCACCAGCATTTATAAGAATTTGAGTCAAAGTTAAAAAACTTGGAGGTTACACATACAAATTGAGGTTCTAGCTTCAAAAAAAATCTGAATATTTGGTGCCAGGAGTTCTTTGTTCCCAACGGTAGCACTCAGTGGCCCTTGGGTAGTGGCTTCTCACTTTCAGTGGGATCAGGAGTCTCCAGTTCTGTGTTCCCCACAAGGCTCATGAGGCTTATTTAAGTTATCTGACTGTCAAAATTGACCTGTATTGATATAGGTGGGCTTCTGATTTAAGATTCCAAACCAGCTTGGACATGAAGTAGTCGCTGAATACCAAATGTTCATGTATTGATTTCTGTGGTCACCCTTTTTTCCCTTTAAATATTCCTACAAGATATTATGGCTACCCATTTCATTAGTTAATGGGACTGGTGGCACAGTGCTACAGCTCATTCTCTGTCGGTGTCTTTAAGTTCTGCACCTTGCCCTGGTATGTTCTCTATTGCTTGTGATCTCCCTGCATATCCAGCATTTGGTGCTCAGGGCCCCTTTCTGCTCAGAATCTAAGCAGGGGATGGATCCCTCATTGTGTCACACCATTGGACTTCTGTGTCACATCATAACTAACCCCACTCTACAGCAGTGATGCCAGCTGAGGCAGGACCACTTCATCACCATGCTGAGATAATGCAGGCTGCCCAACCATCTGTTTTGCCTTTTCTTAACCACCTGTGCTGGTAAACTTTTATAGAAAAATTCCTTGAAGAAGTCAAATGAACTTTGAACTCCTCTCCTCAAAGAAAAGTGTGTTTGTTTTTGTTTTTATCAGAGTTGGCTTGGCCTGTGATATGGTTTGGCTCTGTCCCCACCCAAATCTCATTTTGAATTGTATCTCCCATAATTCCCACATGTTGTGGGAGGGACCCAGTGGGAGATAATTGAATTATGGTGGCGGTTTCCCCCATACTGTTCTCATGGTAGTGAATAAGTCTCACGAGATCTGATGGTTTTATAAGGGGAAACCCCTTTTCTTTGGCTCTTACTCTTCTCTTGTCTGCTGCCATGTGAAATGTGCCTTTCACCTTCCACCATAATTGTGAGGCCTCCCCAGCCACGTGGAAATGTTAGTTCATTAAACCTCTTTCTTTTGTAAATTGCCCTGTCTTGGGTATGTCTTTATCAATAGCATGAAAACAGACTAATACAGTCAATTGGTACCAGTAGTAGAGTGGGGTTCTGCTGAAAAGATACCTGAAAATGTGGAAGTAACTTTGAAACTGGGTAGCAGGCAGAGGTTGGAACAGTTTGGAGGGCTCAGAAGAAGACAGGAAAATGTGGGAAAGTTTGGAACTCCCTAGAGATTTGTTGAATGACTTTGACCAAAATGCTGATAATCATATGGACAATGAAATCCAGGCTGACATGGTCTCAGATGGAGATGAGGAACTCGTTGGGAACTGGAGTAAAGGTGACGCTTGATGTGTTTTAGCAAAGAGACGGGCAGAATTTTGCCCCTGCCCTAGAGATCTGTGGAGCATTGAACTTGAGAGAGATGATTCAGGGTATCTGGTTGGAGAAAATTCTAAGCAGCAAAGCTTTCAAGAGGTGACTTGGGTGCTGTTAAAGACTTTTAGTTTTAAAAGGGAAACAGCATATAAGTTCAGAAAATTTGCAACCTGACAATGCAATAGAAAAGAAAATCCCATTTTCTGAGGAAAAATTCAGGCTGGGTGCAGAAATTTTTATAAGTAACTTGGAGCTGAGTGTTAATCCCCAAGACAATGAGGAAAATGTCTCCAGGGCATGTCAGAGGTCTTCATGGCAGCCCCACCAATCACACACCTGGAGGCCTTGGAGAAAAAAATGTTTTAGTGGGCCAGGCCTAGGGTCCCCATGCTGTGTGCAGCCTAGGGACTTGGTGCCCTGGATCCCAGCTGCTGCAGCCATGGCTGATAGGGGCCAAAGTAGAGCTCAGGCCATGTCTTCAGAGGGTGCAAGCCACAAGCCTTGGCAGCTTCCATGTGGTGTTGATCCTGCAAGTGCACAGAAGTCAAGAATTGGGGTTTGGGAACCTCCATCTATATTTCAGAGGATGTGTGGAAATGCCTGGATGCCCAAGCAGAAGTTTGCTGCAGGGGCGAGGCCCTCATGGAGAACCTCTGCGAGGACAGTGTGGAAGGGCAATGTGGGGTTAGAGCCCCCACATGGAGTCCCTCCTGGAGCACTGCCTAGTGGAACTGTGAGAAGAGGGCCACAGTCCTCCAGACCCCAGAATAGTAGATCCACTGACAGCTTGCACCATGTGCCTGGAAAAGCCACAGACACTCAACACCAGCCTGTGAAAACAGCCAGGAGGGAGGCTCTACCTTGCAAAGCCACAGGGACAGAGCTGCCCAAGACCATGGGAACCCACCTCTTGCATCAGCATGACCTGGATGTGAAACATGGAGTCACATGTCTCAGTCAAAATGGATCATTTTGGAGCTTTAAGATTTGACTGCCCTGCATGGGGCCTGTAGCCCCTTTGTTTGGCCAATTTTTCCCATTTGGAATGAGTGTACTTACCCAATGTCTGTAGTTCCTATGTATCTAGGAAGTAACTAACTTGCTTTTGATTTAACAGGCTCATAGGCAGAAGAGACTTGCCTTGTCTCAGACGAGATTTTGGACTGTGGACTTTTGAGTTAATGCTGAAATGAGTTAAGACTTTGGGAGACTGTTGAGAAGGCATGACTGGTTTTGAATGTGAGGACATGAGATTTGGGAGGAGCTAGAGGTGGAATTATATGGTTTGGCTCTGTCCACACTCAAATCTTATCTTGAATTGTATCTCCCATAATTCCCACAAGTTGTGGGAGGGACCTGGTGGGATATAATTGAATCATGGCTGTGGTTTCCCCCATACTGTTCTCGTGGTAGTGAGTAAGTTCTCATCGTTTTATAAGGGGAAACCCCTTTCACTTGGCTCTCATGCTTCTCTTGTCTTCTGCCATGTGATGAGGTGAGAAATTAAAGAAATAAAGAAAAATAAATTAAAAAGAGAAAGAAATAAGCTTTCCTGTAATAGGCTGACTTGTCCCAGAGGCAGCAATGGGCACAGCCCAGACCCAGCGAAAGTCTTGATAATACTATCTAAGAAGCCTAGACACAAAGGAATGTGCTCTGGAGACTCTCCCCAGCACTCCCTCAACATAGGGAGAGGAAAAACAAATTTTCCTCTGTTTTATGGTATGAGTTTATAGATTCTTGTTCTCTGTAACTAGTAACTTCAAGTATTCTGTTTTATCTAAGAAGTACAGTGAAGGTTGTGATAAGCCTGAGCAGACCTGAACTACAGCTGTCTGGGCACCGTAGTGAAGGTTATAAGATAAACCAGTGCAAGGCTCTTTTGAGCAAAACCTAGATAACAGACATCTGGGTTGCTTGGCAACGGTCATGTGTAATCCTGAGTTCTAAACCTGTCACAATTTAATTAATTGTTCTGCCTCCGTATCCTTGCTTTCGTGCCACTGTAACTGTAAGCCTGCTTCAAGCTAGCCCACCCCCTTTTTAAAGTGTGTATAAAAGTCAAGTGCTCGGAGTCGCTTCCAAGATGGCCAAATAGGAACAGCTCCAGTCTGCAGCTCCCAGCGAGATCAACACAGAAGACAGGTGATTTCTCCATTTCCAACTGAGGTACCAGGTTCATCTCATTGGGACTGGTTGGACAGTGGGTGCAGCCCACGGAGGGCAAGCTGAAGTAGAGCAGGGCGTGGCCTCACTTAGGAAGCACAAGGGGTTGGGGGATTTCCCTTTTCTAGCCAAGGGAAGCTGTGACAGACTGTATCTGGAGAAACGGTTCACGCCTGACCAAATATTGCACTATTCCAACAGTCTTAGCAACTGGCAGACCAGGAGATACCCTCCAATGCCTGGCTTGGTGGGTCCCACGCCCACAGAGCCTTGCCACTGCTAGCACAGCAGTCTGAAATCGACCCACGATGCTGCAGCTGGACGGGGGGAGGGGCATCTGCCATTGCTGAGGCTTGAGTAGCTCACAGTGTCAACAAGCAGCCTGGAAGCATGAACTGGGCACATTCCACCTCAGCTCAGCAAGGCCTACTGCCTCTACCTCTGGGGGCAGGGCAGAGTAGAACAAAAGGCAACAGACAGCTTCTGCAGACTTAAACATCCCTGTCTGACAGCCCTGAAGAGAGCAGTGGTTCTCTCAGCACAATGTTTGAGATCCTAGAATGGACAGACTGCATCCTCAAGTGGGTCCCTGACCCCTGTGTAGCCTGAGTGGGAAACATCTCCCAGTAGGGGGCAACAGACACCTCAAACAGGCAGGTGCCCCTCTGGGACGAAGCTTCCAGATGAAGGATCAGGCAGCGATATTTGCTTTTCTGCAGCCTCCGCTGGTGATACCCAAACAAACAGGGTCTGGAGTGGGCCTCCAGCAAACTCCAACAGACCTGCAGCTGAGGGGTCTGACTGTTAGAAGGAAAACTAACAAACAGAAAGGAATAGCATCAACATCAACAAAAAGGACATCCACACCAAGATCCCGTCTGTAGGTCACCAACATCAAAGACCAAAGGTTGATAAAACCACAAAGATGAGGAGAAGCCAGAGCAGAAAAGCTGAAAATTCTAAAAACCAGAGAGCCTTTTTTCCTCCAAAGGATCACAGCTCCTCACCAGCAAGGGAACAAGACTGGACAGAGAATGAATTAGACGAGTTGACAGAAGTAGGTTTCAGAAGGTCGGTAATAACAAACTTCACCGAGCTAAAGGAGCATGTTCTAACCCATCACAAGGAAGCTAAAAACGTTGAAAAAAGGTTAGATGAACGGCTAACTAGAATAAACAGTGTCGAGAAGACCTTAAGTGACCTGATGGAGCTGAAAACCATGGCATGAGAACTTTGTGATGCATGCACAAGCCTCAATAGCTGATTCGATCAAGTGGAAGTAAGGATATCAGTGATTGAAGATCAAATAATGAAATAAAGCAAGAAGACAAGATTAGAGAAAAAAGAGTGAAAAGAAGTGAGCAAAGCCTCCAAGAAATATGGGACTATGTGAAAAGACCAAATATACGTTTGATTGGTGTACCAGAAAGTGACTGGGAGAATGGAACCAAGTTAGAAAACACTCTTCAGGATATTATCCAGGAGAACTTCCCTAACCCAGCAAGGCAGGCCAACATTCAAATTTCCAAAAATTTCCAATTCATAGACTTAATCAATGCAGAAGCTCAAATTATACTTTGAGATGCCACTAAGTTTAAACACTGTACCCCCTATAATCTTAGGAAAGTAAATATAAAATAGAGGAAATATGGGTGTGGCTCACTTTATACTCTTGCCTAAATGTCCCATAGTCATAGTAGCCATTGCACTAAAATATCTGATATTGGGAATAGATGTGCCAACACAATAAGAAATTTAAAAAGTCAAATTTTTGGCACTTACAAATTGGCTTGATTAAAATGGGATCCCAGTGGCTGGGCACAGTAGCTCGCACTTGTAATCCTAACACTTTGGGAAGCCGAGGCAGGCAGATCACCTGAGGTCAGGAGTTCAAGACCAGCCTGGCCAACATGGTGAAACCCCATCTCTACTAAAAATACAAAAAAATAGCCAGGAGTCATGGTGGCTGCCTGCGCTATAATCTCAGCTACTTGGGAGACTGAGGCAGGAGAATGGCTTGAACCCAAGAGGCAGAGGTTGCAGCGAGCTGAGATCGTACCACTGCACTCCAGTCCGGGCAACAGATGGAGACTCCCTCTCAATAAATAAATAAATAAATAAAAATAATAAAATGGGATCCCACAGATCCACAGTTAAAATAGTTAATATAGCCTTATGTAAGTTAAGACAGGGCTTTCAAGGATTAAAACTTATGTAGTATATACCTAAAAGAAAGGAAATCAATATGTGGAAGAGATTCTGCACT
This sequence comes from Homo sapiens, assembly GCF_000001405.40. NCBI lineage: Eukaryota > Metazoa > Chordata > Mammalia > Primates > Hominidae > Homo > Homo sapiens. The sequence goes on from NC_000006.12 coordinate 4,227,324, forward strand.
CCATGTCTAGTGCGGTACTCTTCATAATAGCCAAAATTTGGCCAGGTGCAGTGGCTCATATCTGTAATCCCAGCACTTTGGGAGGCTGAGGCGGGCAGATCACTTGAGGCCAGAAGTTTGAGACCAGCCTGGCCAACATGGCAAAATGCTGTCTCTACCAAAAATATAGAAAATATCTGGGCATGGTGTCACATGCCTGTAGTTCTAGCTAATCAGGAGGGTGAGGCAGGATAATTGCTTAAACCCAGGAGGTGGAGGTTGCGGTGAGCTGAGATTGTGCCCATCAACAGATGAATGAAGAAAGAAAACATGACACACACACACACACACACACACACACACACACACACACACACTGGAATATTATACAGCCATAAAAAGGAATGAAATCTTGTCATTTGCAGTAATGTAATTTGGATGGAGCTGGAGGCTGTTATCCCAAGTGAAATAACTCAGAAACAGAAAATCAAATACTGCATGTTCTCAATCACGTGGAACTGAAGAAAGTGGATCTCATGAAGATACACTGTATCCAGTGGTTACCAGAGGCCAGGAAGGGTAGTGGGAAGGAGGGAGGGGTGAAGAGAGGTTGATTAATGGGTACAAAAATACAAGTAGCTAGACACAGTGGCTCACACCTTTAATCTCAGCACTTTGGGAGGCCAAGGTGTGTGGATCACTTGAGCTCAGGAGTTTGAGACCAATCTGGGCAACATAGCAAGACCCCATCTCTACAAAAAATACAAAAAAATTAAAAATATAATTAAGAAATTAATGCTGACAGATCAATTAGATAGCCATGTGTAAACAGAAAGTCTTGAAACATACCCTAAACTACCCACAAAAATCAATTTCAGAAGGAATGTAGCTTTAAACATAAATATTAAAAAATAAAATAAATTATTTTTATAACTTTGAGTAGGGAAATATTTTTTAAACAGATTACAAAAACCAGTAGCTATAAAGGAAGAGATTGATAAATTAGACCGCATTCAAATTAATAATTTTTATTTATCAAAAGACATCATTAAGGAAGTGAAGAGGCAAGTTTTAGAGTGGAAGAAAATATATATACACACATAACTGACAAAGGGATCACATCCAGAATATGCAGAGCACTCCTATAAACAATAAGAAAAAGACAAATATTAAACTGATAAGAACAGATACTACACTAGATCTTAGCCAAAAGGCTGAGAAAGAAGGGGAACATCACATACCGGGGCCTGTCATGGGGTGGGGGGAGGGGGGAGGGATAGCATTAGGAGATATACCTAATGTAAATGACGAGTTAATGAGTGCAGCACACCAACATGGCACATGTATACATATGTAACAAACCTGCACATTGTGCACATGTACCCTAGAACTTAAAGTATAATAACAACAAAAAAAGAAAAAGACAAATAGAAAAATGAGTAGAAGGCTGGATATATAATTTATAAAAAATGATGTCCAAAAGTGTTCAATTTCCTCAATAATCATGTAAATGCAAATCAAAATCAATGAGATATCACCACACATCCTCCAGAATAGCTAAAATAAAAGAGACTGATGGGGATTTCCGGCAAGATATCCAAATAGGAACAGCTCCGATCTGCAGCTCCCAGCAAGATTGATGAAGAAGATGGGTGTTTTCTGCATTTCCACCTGAGGTACCTGGTTCATCTCATTGGGACTGGTTGAACAGTGGGTGCAGCCCATAGATGGCGAGCCAAAGCAGGGCGAGGCGTTGCCTCACCCGGGAAGTGCAAGGGATCAGGGGATTTCCCTTTCCTAGCCAAGGGAAGCCACGAGAGACTGTACCAGGAGGAACAGTACACTACTGCCCAGATACTGTGCTTTTCCCATGGTCTTTGCAACTGGCAGACAAGGAGATTCCCTCTGGTGCCTGGCTCGGTGGGTCCCATGCCCACAGAGCCCAGCAAGCTGAGATCAATTGGCTTGAAATTCTCGCTGCTAGCACAGCAGTCTGAGATCAACCTGGGACACTGGAGCTTGGAGAGGGGAGGGGCACCCACCATTGCTGAGGCTTGAGTAGGCGGTTTTATGCCCACAGTGTAAAGAAAGCCTCCGGGAAAGTTCGAACCGGGTGAAGCCCACCGCTCTCAACAAGGCCATCTGCCTTTCTAGATTCCACGTCTGTGGGCAGAGCATCTCTGAACAAAAGGCAGCAGCCCCAGTTGGGGACTTATAGATAAAACCCCCATCTCCCTGGGAAAAAGCACCTAGGGGAAGGGGCAGCTGTGGGCACAGCTTCAGCAGACTTAAATGTCCCTGTCTGACAGCTCTGAAGAGAGAAGTGGTTCTCCCATCACAGCGTTTGAGCTCTGATAATGGACAGACTGCCTCCTCAAGTGGGTCCCTGACCCTTGTGTAGCCTGACTGGGAGACACCTCCCAGTCAGGCTGCAGACACCTCATACAGGAGAGCTCTGGCTGGCATCTGGTGGGTGCCCCTCTGGGACAAAGCCTCCAGATGAAGGATCAGGAAGCAATATTTGCTGTTCTGCAGCCTCCCCTGGTGATGCTCAGGCAAACAGGATCTGGAGTGAACCTCTGGCAAACTCCAACAGACCTGCAGCTGAGAGGCCTGACTGTTAGAAGGAAAACTAACAAACAGAAAGGAATAGCATCAACATCAACAAAAAGGACATCCACACCAAAACTCCATCCATAGGTCACCAACATCAAAGTCCAAAGGTGGATGATAAAACCACAAAGATGGAGAGAAACCAGCGCAGAAAGGCTGAAAATTCCAAAAAGCAGAATGCCTCTCCTCCTTCAAAGGACCACAACTCCTCGCCAGCAAGGGAACAAAACTGGAGGGAGAATGAGTTTGAAGAATTGACAGAAGTAGGCTTCAGAAGGTTGGTAATAACAGACTCATACAAGCTAAAGGGGCGTGTTCTAACCCATCGCAAGGAAGCTAAGAACCTTGAAAGGAGGTTAGACGAATTGCTAACTAGAATAAGCAATGTAGAGAAGAATATAAATGACCTGATGGAGCTGAAAAACACAGCATGAGAACTTCGTGAAGCATACACAAGCTTCAGTAGCTGAATCGATCATGTGGAAGAAAGGATATCAGTGACTGAAGATTGACTTAATGAAATAAAGCAAGAAGACAAGATCAGAGAAAAAAAGAGTGAGAAAAAATGAACAAAGCCTCCAAGAAATATGGGACTAGGTGAAAAGACCAAATCTACATTTGATTGGTGTACCTGAAAGTGAGGGGAAAATGGAACCAAGTTGGAAAACACTCTTCAGGATATTATCCAGGAGAACTTCACCAATCTAGCAAGGCAGGCCAACATTCAAATTCAGGAAATACAGAGAAGGTGACAAAGATACTCCTTGAGAAGAGCAACCCCAAGACAAATAATCATCAGATTCCCCAAGGTTGAAATGAAGGAAAAAATGTTAAGGGCAGCCAGGGAGAAAGGTCAGGTTACCCACAAAGGGAAGCCCATCAGACTAACAGCAGATCTCTCGGCAGAAACCCTACAAGCTAGAAAAGAGTAAGGGCCAATACTCAATGTTCTTAAAGAAAAGAATTTTCAACCTAGAATTTCATATCCAGCCAAACTAAGCTTCATAAGCGAAGGAGAAATAAAAGCCTCTACAAACAAGCAAATGCTGAGAGATTTTGTCACCACCAGGCCTGCCTTACAAGAGCTCCTGAAGGAAGCACTAAACATGGAAGTGAACAACTGGTACCAGCCACTGCAAAAACATGTCAAATTGTAAAGACCATCGACGTTATGAAGAAACTGCATCAACTAATGGGCAAAATAACCAGCTGACAACATAATGACAAGATCAAATTCACACATAACAATATGAAACTTAAATGTAAATGGGCTAAATGCCCCAATTAAAAGACACGGACTGCATCAATGTGCTGTATTCAGGAGACCCACTTCACTTGAAAAGACACACATAGGGTCAAAATAAAGGGATGGAGGAAGATCTACCAAGCAAATGGAAAGCAAAGAAAAAAGCAGGGGTTTCAATCCTAGTCTCTGATAAAACAGACTTTAAACCAGCAAAGACCAAAAGAAAAAAAGAAGGGCATTACTTAATGGTAAAGGGATCAATGCAACAAGAAGAGCTAACTATCCTAAATACATATGCACCCAATACAGGAGCACCTGGCTTCATAAAGCAAGTTCTTAGAGACCTACAAAGAGACTTACACTCCCATACAATAATAGTGGGAGACTTTAATACCCCATTGTCAATATTAGATCAAAGAGACAGAAAATTAACAAGGATATCCAGGACTTGAACTCAGCTCTGGACCAAGCGTACCTAACAGACATCTACAGAACTCTCCACCCCAAATCAACAGTATATACATTCTTCTCAGCACCACATCGCACTTATTCTAAAATTTACCATTTAATTGGAAGAAAAACACTCCTCAGCAACGTAAAAGAGCAGACAGACATCACAAGAAACTGTCTCTCAGACCACAGTACAATCAAATTAGAACTCAGAATTAAGAAACTCACTCAAAACTGCAGAACTACATGGAAATTGAACAACCTGCTCCTGAATGACTACTGGGTAAATAACAAAATGAAGGCAGAAACAAAGATGTTCTTTGAAACCAGTGAGAACAAAGACACAATGTACCAGATTCTCTGGGACACATTTAAAGCAGTGTGTAGAGGGAAATTTATAGCACTAAATGCCCAAAAGAGAAAGCAGGAAAGATCTAAAATCGACACCCTAACATCACAATTAAAAGAACTAGAGAAGCAAGAGCAAACACATTTAAGAGCTAGCAGAACACAAGAAATAACTAAGAACAGAGTAGAACTGAAGGAGATAGAGACACAAAAAACCCTTTAAAAAATCAATGTACCCAGGGCCTGGTTTCTTGAAAAGATCAACAAAATAGATGGACCACTAGCAGGACAAGAGAGAAGAATAAAATAGACTCAATAAAAAGTGATAAAGAAGATATCACCACCCATCCCACAGAAATACAAACTACCATCAGAGAATACTATCAACATCTCTATGCACATAAACTAGAAAATCTAGAAGAAATGGATAAGTTCCTGGACACATACACCCTCACAAGACTAAACCAGGAAGAAGTTGAATCTCTGAATAGACCAATAACAGGTTCTGAAATTGAGGCAATAATTAATAGCCTACCAACCAAAAAAAGTCCAGGACCAGGCGGATTCACAGCTGAATTCTACCAGAGGTACAAAGAGGAGCTGGTACTATTCCTTCTGAAACTATCCCAATTAATAGAAAAAGAGGGAATCCTCCCTAAATCATTTTACTAGGCTAGCATCATCCTGATACCAAAGCCTGGTAGAGACACAACAAAAAGAATTTTAGGCCAATATCCCTGATTAACATTGATGTGAAAATCCTCAACAAAATATTGGCAAACTGAATCCAGCAGCATATCAAAACGCTTATCCACCATGATCAAGTCGGCTTCATCCCTGGGATGCAAGGCTAGTTCAACATACACAAATCAATAAATGTAATCCATCACATAAACAGAACCAACAACAAAAACCACATGATTATCTCAATAGATGCAGAAAAGGCCTTTGACAAAATTCAACATCGCTTCATGCTAAAAACTCTCAATAAACTAGGTATTGATGGAAGGTATCTCAAAATAATAAGAGCTATTTATGACAAACCCACAGCCAATATCATACTGAATGGGCAAAAACTGGAAGCATTCCCTTTGAAAACCAGCACAAGACAAGGATGCCCTCTCGCAGCACTTGTATTCAACATAGTGTTGCAAGTTCTGGCTAGGGCAATCAGGCAAGAGAAAGAAATAAAGGGTATTCAATTACTAAAAGAGGAAGTCAAATTATCTCTGTTTGCAGATGACATGATTGTATATTTAGAAAACCCTATTGTCTCAGCCCAAAATCACCTTAAACTGATAAGCAACTTCAGCAAAGTCTCAGGATACAAAATCAATGTGCAAAAATCACAAGCATTCCTATACACCAATAATAGACAAACAGCCAAATCATGAGGGAACTCCCATTCACAATTACTAAAAAGAGAATAAAATACCTAGGAATCCAACTTACAAGGCAAGTTCAGGCCCTTTTCAAGGAGAACTACAAACCACCACTCAACAAAATAAAAGAGAACACAATCAAATGGAAGAACATTTCATGCTCATGGATAGGAAGAAGCAATATTGTGAAAATGGCCATACTGCCCAAAGTAATTTATAGATTGAATGCTATCCCCATAAAGCTACCAATGACTTTCTTCATAGAATTGGAAAAAACTTCTTTAAAGTTCATATGGAACCAAAAAAGAGCCTGGATAGCCAAGACAATCCTAAGCAAAAAGAACAAAGCTGGAGGCATCATACTACCTGACTTCAAACTATACTACAAGGCTACAGTAACCAAAACAGCATGGTACTGGTACCAAAACAGATATATAGACCAATGGAAAAGAACAGAGGTTTCAGAAATAACACCACACATCTACAACCATCTGATCTTTGACAAACCTGACAAAAACAAGCAATGGGGAAAGGATTCCCTATTTAATAAATGATGCTGGGAAAACTGGCTAGCCATATGTAGAAAGCTGAAACTGGATCCCTTCCTTACGCCTTATACAAAAATTATCTCAAGATGGATTAAAGACTTAAATGTAAGACCTAACACCGTAAAAACCATAGAAGAAAACCTAGGCAATAATTCAGGACATAGGCATGAGTAAAGACTTTATGACTAAAACACCAAAAGCAATGGCAACAAAAGCCAAAATAGACAAATTGGGTTTAATTAAACTAAAGAGCTTCTGTACAGCAAAAGAAACTATCATCAGAGCGAAGAGGCAACCTACAGAATGGGAGAAAATTTTTGCAATCCAGCCATCTGACAAAGGGCTAATATCCAGAATCTACAAAGAACTTAAACAAATTTACAAGAAAAAAACAAACAACCACATCAAATTGGGCAAAGGATATAAACAGACACTTCTCAAAAAAAGACATTTATGCAGCCAACAGACACATGAAAAAATGCTTATCATCACTGGTCATTAGAGAAATGCAAATCAAAACCACAATGAGATACCATCTCATGCCAGTTAGAATGGCGATCATTAAAAAGTCAGGAAACAACAGATGTTGGAGAGTGTGTGGAGAAATAGGAACGCTTTTACACTGTTGGTGGGAGTGCAAATTAGTTCAACCATTGTGGAAGACAGTGTGGCGATTCCTGAAGGATCTAGAACTAGAAATACCATTTGACCCAGCAGTCCCATTACTGGGCATATACCCAAAGGATTATAAATCATTCTACGATAAAGACACATGCACACATATGTTTATTGTGGCACTATTCACAATAGCAAAGACTTGGGATCAACCCAAATGTCCATCAATGATAGACCGGATTAAGAAAATGTGGCACATATACACCATGGAATACTATGCAGCCATAAAAAAAGGATGAGTTCATGTCCTTTGCAGGGACATGGATGAAGCTGGAAACCATCATTCTAAGCAAACTATCACAAGGACAGAAAACCAAACACTGCATGTTCTCATTCATAAGTGGGAGTTGAATAATGAGAACACATGGACACAGGGCAAGGAACATCACACACTGGGGCTGGTCGGGGGCTGTGGGGCTGGGGTAGGTATAGCATTAGGAGAAATACCTAATGTAAATGATGAGTTGATGGATGCAGCAAACCAACATGGCACATGTAACCTGCACATTGTGCACATGTACCCTAGAACTTAAAGTATAATAATAATTTAAAAAAATCAAGTGCTGTCTTTATTCTGGGCCCAGTCTTTGGATGTTAAGTCTGAGTGCACTCAATAAAGATATCCTTCTGTATACACCCCAAGGTCTCTCTCTGGCCCTCCTGGTCTCGCAATGGTGAGACATGCCTTTCACCTTCCACCATGATTGTGAGGCCTCCCCAGCCACATGGAATTGTGAGTCCATTAATTCTCTTCCTTTTGTAAATTGCCCAGTCTTTGGTATGTCTTTTTCAACAGGGTGAAAATGGACTAGTAAAGCTTGTTTTTCTGAAGATTTATTCTCTTTTTTCAAAGACATTGTAACCTATTTCCTTCAATTTGGCTGACCAGTTTAAGGAAAGTTCTGAATGTTCTGAACTTTGTACTCCTTCTAGCAGAGCCTGTACTCCTTTAATGACATTAGTAATAGTGAAGGCAAAGAGATGATATTTTTGTAGAGTATTTCCTCCTGGGACAGAAAGACAGTCTTAACAGTCTCTTTACTTGTTGCAAAAGTAAATAATTAAACAAACAAACACACCAATAAATAGATAAATCCCAGAGAAACTTGTTGGCATTGATAGATTGATAAGGTTAAATCCTTACAGTTATGTGCTTAAAGTTTATTTCATTCATTCTTGTATGTATTCCAAGTGTTAAGAAAAAACACCCAAGACTTGGATATGAAGTAAAAGGTGACCATGTCTTCTTATTGCCATACATGAGCATTGTCTACGAGTTCTGTACCTTTGTTTCACTTACCGTTTACCATCAGCTAGGGCTCACATTCTGTAAAATTAAATGTTATCTTGCAGATTTATAATGTGGAAATGATTTTTTTTGCAGTATAGATACAAAATAATTTCTCCCCTTTAGAAAAGATGGCCAAAGGATTACGATTTTATAGCACTGTGGGCCAGTAACTAGTTTTATATCTAACCTAACAATCGTATTCAGCATTATTTCTTTCAGTGCCTATAATTTATAATTATAGCATTTATAATGCTCACTCTCCTCAATTCCCTTTGAGTCAGCTTTACGATTCTGTTAGCTCTTTCATTAATGAGTAAAATAAATTTCTGAAGCATGTTCATTCTATATGTCATATATTTGTGTGAGATTCATGTCATTAACATTTAGAAAATTCTACTTTGACACTAACCTTATCCTGCCACATTTGCTTTATTACTCCTCTCTAAACATATGTGTGTATTACTATTTTTTGAACTATTTAAAACTTAATAGCAGACACCATGCCCTTACTCCTAAATAGCTCAGCATGAATTTTGTAAGAACAATAATTCTTACATAACCACAGTACAATGATTAAATTTAGGTAACTTAGCACTGAGACAATACCATGATATAATCTACAGTGCACATTCAATTTTTATCAATTGCCATATTCATGTTCTTTATAGATATTTTTTCTCTGATCCAGGATCCAAAGGGGACCACACAGTGCATGGAGCTGTCATGTCTCCTTCGTCTCCTTTCATCAGAACTGCAGCCTTTCATTGTCCTTAAAGATCCTGGAAGTTTTGAAGAATACAGGCCACTTCTTTTGGAGAATGCCCCCCAGTTTAATTTTGCATGACATGCTCTTATATTAGATTCAGGGTCATCCCAACTTCCTGTGCACATGTGGAGTTTCTTTCCTTGGTTGCTGTGGGCTGCTCGAGGAAAAACTTTGAAAGTGCTTTGCAGTTAATGTGTAAGATAACACCTTTTTTGAGGAAGAGAGAGCTGATCAATTAGCTCTAGTTTAAGGGAAGAAAAGCCAGATGACATTATTCATTGATAAAACAAAAGCTATTTAATGATGTCTCTGCTCCTCACAGACAGATGTGACCTCCATCGCTGCCATGCTAATCCCAGGTTCACTTTTGCTAAGGGAAGCAGTATAATTGGTACATTTCTCTTTTGACACTTGAGCCTTTCTGACGTTCTCTTTATTCATTCTCTTCCATCTCCATGCATTATAGAACCTGAAGGGGGGAGAATTATAGGGCCATCTGGCCCAAGCCACTAGAGAGTATCAACATGCTCTCTAATAAAGATGTCCTTGAAAGGTGAGGTCTACTTTCAAATTTAAAATCTTATTTCAGCTGGGTGAGGTGGTACATGTTTATAGTCTCAGCTACTGATGAGGCTGAAACAGCAGAATCTTTTGAGCCCAGGAATTCTAATCCAGCCTGGGCAACACGGCAAGACCCCATCTCTAAAAAACAAACAAGCAAACAATTTCAAATGAGCTGGGTGTTTGCTCTATGGTAAATAGAATGGATTACTTAATAATCCTGAAGAAATCATTGCATGGCTCTATTCTAAAATGGTGTTAGGTTCTGTTTAAATACCTTAAAAGTATTATTTAGGGAAAATATATATCATCTCTTCCACGTATTGGGACAGGTTTGGAGAATAAAACAATAATGAATTATCTGTGAAATTATATAATAAAAAGTAAAGTGCTTTGCAAGTTATGTGATATACTATTTTCATACAAAAGTTATTCATCAGTACAGTAATTATAATGAAACTGAATATCCCCAAGTCTATAGATAACTGAGGTGTAACTATTTTTTATATCCAAATAAAATAACTTGAGTCCACATCTCACTTTTGATTTTAGTAAATTTAGTCCCCTCCGAAATATTTCTGAAAATTCCCAGACAGCATCTGTCAACTGCAAACTCCAGTTGTCAGATTATTCTAGACCACTTTTGGCTGTTGGGTTGCCTCCCTGGTTTGCTATACTTTATTGCTTTCTGTTTTCTGTGGTTCAATTCACCCACCAATCTGATCACAGCCCTTCCTTTATTTCCTAAGAAAATTCCAAAATACATCTGACACTAATTAAGCAATTAATATAGTTTTGCTGCATTGGAGGACAACAGAGAGGAAATAAGATACAAAACAGGAAACAACTCAAAATGCTCTCTCCTCAGAGGTTAGTCTTTTATATTATTATGAAGATAACTTTAGTTCTCTTTTACAGATCCTCCCCATTCTGGTGAAAACCTTGAGTCTTACATTTCATAACCAACAACTCATGAAAAAGTTGTTTCCCTAAACAAAGACCAATTTCTTCTCTTGGGAGCACCACTCACTCTCATTCAAAGAATGTTAGAGTTGTTCTAGCAGGTTTTTCCCCCCATCTAAACTAAGAAGATCACCTGTATGGAGAAGCTAGATAAATTGCCAAGGGTAGGAAAGAGTTTGAAGTCAACTTTTAGAATATGTGACACTACCTCCTAACTGATCCGATTTTTGTATATTGACCATGCATCTAGTAACCGCACTCAATTCAGTCATTAAATTCAATAGTTTGTAGATTATTTTGAATATTTTATGTTAACAGTCACATAATTTTCAAATGAACGTTTTACATTTTTCTGTACAAGTTTTATATGTTTTACTTATTTTTCTGGCCTCATTACACTGGCTAGAATGAACAATTAACAGTTGAAAGAAAAACCATAGTGGACATCCTTGCCTGGCTCTGATAGGGGAAAAAGTTCACTGTTTCAACTTTATTGTTAGCTGTGGGTGTTTTGTTCTACCCTTTATGAGATTGAGGAAGTTTCCTTTTAATTCTATTTTGCTGAGGGTTTTTAAAATGATGAATGGGTATTGAATTTAATCAAATAACTTTTCTAAATCTACTGAGATGATTATATATTTGTCACTTATTCTGTTAATGTGATGAATTGCATTGATTGATTTTTGAATATTAAATCAATCTTGCCTTCCTAGGATAAACCACACTTGCTGAATCTGATTTGTTATTATTTTGTTTTGAATTTCTGCCTTAGTCTGACAGAAATTGGCCTATAATTTTACTTTCTTATAATATTCTTGACATATTATGCTATCAAGCCTCATAAAACAAGCTAGAAAGTAGTCCCTGGTCTCTATTTTCTAACAGAGTTAATACAAGGTAAGTATGATTTCTTCCTCAAATGTTTGGAAGAATTTACCAGTGATACTATCTGGAACCAGAGTTTTCTTTGTGGAAAAGTTTTTAAATTATGGATTCAATTACTTTGACAGATTTGGGATTATTTAAAATTTCAATTTTCTCTGTGGCTATTTTAGTAAGTCATGCTTTTAAAGGATTCTGCCCATTTTATCTAAGTTGTCAAATGTATTGGCAAAAATGATTCATAATGTTTTCTTATCTTTTTCATCTATATTGAATCCTGATATTGGCAGTTTGTATTCTCTTTCTTTATGTCTCTTTTTCTTAATAAATCTTGCTAGGAAGTTATCAATTTTATTAGTCTTTCCAAACAACCAACTTTTGACTTCTGTGTTTTCTCTCTTATCCATCTGCTTTCTCTTCTATTGCCTTCTGGAGACTGTCATATGACCACTCTTATAAGCAGCTGGGCAGTCTCACTCTGTCACCGACTGGAGTGCAGTGGTATGATCATAGATCACTGTAGCCTCGACCTCTTGAACTCCCACCTCAGCCTCCTGAGTAGGCAGGACTACAAGTGCATGCCTCCATGCCTGGCTAATTTCTTATTTTTGTGGAGATAGGGTCTTGCTATGTTGCCCAGGCTGGTCCTAAACTCCTGGCCCCAAGTGAATCTCTCAACTTGGCTTCCCAAAGCACTGGATTACAGGCATGTGCCACCCAACCTGGCCCACAGTTCTTTTTTGAAGGGTTATCAGAGTGGCACATCTCTATGTCTACTACAGCCTATTCTAGAAAAAAAATCGATTATTCAAGTATCTATATCAAGGAGCTAGAAAAAGAACAGCAAATTAAGCACAAACAAAATAGAAGGATGGAAATAATAAAGATAAGAGCAGAAGGCAAAGAGATACAAAGCAGACGAGCAAGAGAGAAAATTTGGAGCCCCTTTTTGAGGTGCAAAGACGGAGTTAAATCTGCATTGTGATTTGATGGTTCCCTGCCCAATCCTGCTGGTTGTTATGGATGGTCATTATCAAGTGCATCCAAGCCCTATGGGATGATAAGACAACAGTGAATGCAAATTTAGAAACCTGAGAGCAATTAACAATAAAAAAATTAAGTATGAGAGTTTGCAAAGCAGTTCTCATGCCTTGCAGTAGGCTAACAGAAAAGGTGGGATATGAGGCTCAGGACTGATAGTTCTGGCCTATCCTGAGTGGCTCATCCATCCCATTACAAACCAGCACTCCACAGAGCAACAGGACAGAAGTCTCTCTACCTCAGGTCAATAGGTGCCCAACTCAGGAGCTGTTCCCCTGTCCTGGTGCTGCCAGACTTAGAACCAGAGTTAAGTTGCAACATAAGCCCATCAGGGCATATGCTGCATGAGCTAAGAGAGGAAAGGGTCTACAGCCCTAGACAGCATGGACCAGCAGTGTGGGACTAGATTCTGAGGGTGCTTAATCAAGGCCGGGGAGTGATCGTAATACTGGAGATGAGAGAGTTTCTTGACTTAGAGGAACTTTTTTTTTTTTTTTTGAGACGGAGTCTCGCTCTGTCACCCAGGCTGAAGTGCAGTGGCGCTATCTCGGCTCACTGCAAGCTCTGCCTCCTGGGTTCACGCCATTCTCCTGCCTCAGCCTCCCGAGTAGCTGGGACTACAGGCACCCACCTCTACGTCCAGCTAATTTTTTTTGTATTTTTAGTAGAGACAGGGTTTCACCATGTTAGCCAGGGTGGTCTCGATCTCCTGACTGACTTAGAGGAAACTCTTTTGGGATATAATACCTGGAAATGATGCAAACTTGCTGCTAAGGTGGCTCCTAGAAGATTGGAAAAGGCAATGTCCCATGCTGAGCAAGGTTGAAATACCTGAATTTCTCTGGTAGATGATAGAATAAGGGATTACACAAGAAGTGAGCATGCTAAAATGGATATATTCTGTGAGGCCAATCAGCTCACTAGAGGTCTATATTCCATGGGAAGGCCTAGAGGACACATCATCCACCAAGGCCATCCAGATTGAGCTGTGAAAGGGTGTTGGTGGTCGGTGGTGGCTCCCTCAGCAGGGAGCAATGGTGACAGAAGAAGTTGTCACAGGAGTGGGCTCACTGATGGCAACTGGGATATGGAGCCTGAAGCAATTGAGGACAAATGGCAGTGCTTAGGCCCCAGAAGCCAGGTGGTTATTATAACTACCAACAGGGTCAGAATGGTGGCCAAGAAGGGCTGACCTGCAGGAAGTCATGGAGATGTTAAAACAACATGTCATTCCTGGGGGCAAAATACTTGGCAATGGAGCTCCTTTCTCAGGTGCAGATACTTGGAGTTAAATTTTCTTTGGGCGTGTGTGTGTGTGTGTGTGTGTGTGTGTGTATGTGTTTTCAAAAGAAGGCAAGAATGAACGAATAGGAGACTAAGGGTCATCAACCCACTAAAAAAATTTAAAAGACTTGTGATATGTTGCTGAGTTTGGGGAGATTTGTTCTTTTTTTTCTTATTTTAAGTTTCAGGGTACATGTGCAGGATGTGCAGGTTTGTTACATAGGTGTATCATGGAGGTTTGCTGCACAGATCAACCATCACCTAGGTGTTAAGCCCAGCATCCATTAGCTGTTCTTCCTGATGCTCTCCCTCCCCCGACCCCAACAAGCCCCAATGTGTGTTTTTCCCTCCACCGTGTATCCATGTGTTCTCATCTTTCAACTCCTACTTATAAGTGAGAACATGCAGTGTTTGGTTTTCTGTTCCTGGGTTAGTTTGCTGAGGCTAAGGGGTTCCTGCTTCATCCATGTCCCTGCCAAGGACATGATCTCATTCCTTTTTATGGCTGCATAGTGTTCCATGGTGTATATAGGATTTTCTTTTTCTTTTCTTTCTTTTTTTTTTTTTTTTTTTTTTTTTGAGATGGAGTCTCACTGTGTCACCCAGGCTGGAGTGCAGTGGCATGATCTTGGCTCACTGCAACCTCCACCTCCTGGATTCAAATGATTCTCTTTCCTCAGCCTCTGAGTAGCTGGAATTACAGGCACCTGCCACCACACCTGGCTAATTTTTGTATTTTTAGTGGAGATGGGGTTTTACCATGTTGGCCAGGCTGGTCTCGAACTCCTGACCTAAGATGATCCACCCATCTTGGGCTCCCTAAGTGCTAGGATTACAGGTGTGAGCCACCGTGCCTGGCCCAGGATTTTCTAATGACTTTTAAAAAGCTTATTTTTTAGTTTAATTCAATATTTTGTATGATTGCAATCCTTTGACATTTGTTGAGACTTGCTTTATGGCCCAGCATACAGTGTATCTGGATCAATGTTCCGTGTGTATGTGTTTTTTTTCAAAAAGGGGAACAAATAGTAGTTTTGTTTTATTTTTCTTATTTTAAAACTTGTCTATATTTGAGGTATACAATGTGGTGTTCTGATAATACATATATATGGTGAAGTGATTACTATAGTTAATTAATATATTCGTCGTCTCACATACTATGTTAGTCCTTTCTCACACTGCTATAATAAAGAGTTACCTGAGACTGGGTAATTTATAAAGGAAAGGAGGGTTAATTGACTCACAGTTCTGCATGGCTGGGGAGGCCTCAGGAAACTTAACAATCACGGCAGAAGGCAAAGCAAGCACCTTCCTCACAAGGCAGCTGGAGAGAGAGCACAAGTGAAGGAGAAACTGTCAAGCACTTATAAAACCGTGAGATCTCATGAAAACCCACTATCATGAGAACAGCATGCAGAAACTGCCCCCGTGATTCAATTATGTATGAGGTCCCACCCTCAACACCTGGAGATTACAATTCCAGATGGAATTTGGGTGGGGAGAGAAAGCTGAACCCTGTCATTCCACCCTTGGCCGCTCCCAAATCTCATGTCCTTTTTACATTTCAAAACCAATCATGCCTTCCCAACAGTCTCCCAAAGTCTTAACTCATTTCAGCATTAACTCAAAAGCCCAATGTCCAAAGTCTCATCTGAGACAAGGCAAGTCCATTCCACCTATAAGCCTATAAAATCAAAAGCAAATTGGTTACTTCCTAGATACAATGAGGTCCAGGCATTGGGCAAATAGATCTATTCCAAGTGGTAAAAATTGGCCAAAACAAAGGTGCCACAGCCCCATGCAAGTCCCAAATCCAGCGGGGTAATAATTAAATCTTAAAGCTCCAAAATGATCTCCAGTGACTCCATGTCTCACATCTGGGGCACACTGATGCAAGGGGTGGGCTCCCATGGCCTTGGGCAGCTCTTTCACAGGCTGGCATTGAGTGCCTGTGGCTTTTCCAGGTACAGAGCGCAGGCTGTCAGTGGATCTACCATTCTGGGGTATGAAGGATGGTGACCGTCTTCTCACAGCCCCACTAGGCAGTGCCCCAGTGGGGACTTTGTGCTGGGGCTCCAACCCCACATTTCCTTTCCACCCTGCCTTAGTAAAGGTTCTCCACGAGGGCTCCACTCTTGCAGCAGACTTTTGCTTGGACATCCATACACTGTCTGAAATCTAGATGGAGGTTCCCAAACCTCAATTCTTGACTTCTGTGCACCCACAGGCCCAACACTATGTGGAAGCTCCCAAGGCTTGGGGCTTACACCCTCTGAAGCAACTGCCCAAGCTGTACCTTGGCCCCTTTTAGCCACAGCTGGAGCTGAAGCAGCTGGGACACAGGGCACCAAGTCCTGAGACTACACAGAGCTGGGGGGCCCTGGGCCTGGCACAAAAATTATTTTTTCCTCCTAGGCCTCTGGGCCTCTGATGGGAGAGGCTGCCACCAAGATCTCTGACATGCCCTGGAGGCATTTCCCCCATTATCTTGGTGATTAACATTGGCTACTCGTTACTTATGCAAATTTCTGCAGCAGGCTTGAATTTCTCCCCAGAAAATGGGGTTTTCTTTTTTTATTGCATTGTCAGACTGCAAATTTTCCAAACTTTTATGCTCTGCTTCCCTTTTAAATGTAAGTTCCAATTTCAGATAATCTCTATCAAGTTCAAAAGTCCACAGATCTCTAGGGCAAGGGCAAAATGCCACCAGTCTCTTTGCTAAGGCATAGCAAGAGTGACCTTTGCTTCAGTTCCCAGTAAGTTCTTCATCTCCATATGAGACCACCTCAGCCTGGACTTCATTGTCCATATTACTATCAGCATTTTGGTCAAAACCATTCAACAAGTCTCTAGGAAGTTTCATACTTTTCCACATATTTCTGTCTTCTTCTGAGCCCTCCAAACTGTTCCAATCTCTACCCAGTTCCAAAGTCTTTTCCATATTTTCAGTTATCTTTATAGCAGTACCCCGCTGTGCTGGTACCAATTCTCTGTATTAGTCTATTTTCACACTGCTATAAAGATACTACCTGAGACTGGGTAATTTACAAAGAAAAGAGATTTAATTAACTCACAGTTTTGCAAGGCTGAGGAGGCCTCAGGAAACTTCCAATTATGGCAGAAGGCGAAACAGGCACCTTCTTCACAAGGTGGCAGCAAAGTGAACCCTTGTGAAGAAGGAACTGTCAAACACGCATAAAACCATTAGATCTTGTGAGAACTCACTATCACGACAACTGCATGGGGAAACCACCCCATGATTCAATCACCTCCCATGAGGTCCTTCCCTAAACTCCTGGAGATTACAATTTGAGATGAGATTTGGGTGGGGACACAAAGTCAAACCATATCACAAAGTTAATCTTTCCTTTTAGTTAATCTTGTAGGATTACCTAAGATAGACCCTTCTGGCAAATTTCCAGCATACAGTACAATATTATTAATAATCTTCACATTGTACACTACATCTCTAGACTTATTCATATGACATAACTGCAAGTTTGTACCTTTGTACTCATATCTTCCTATTTTCTGCACTCCTCCACCCTTGGTAATCACTGTTCTATTCCGTTTGTATGTATTTGATTTTTTTAAAGTATCCATATATAAGTGAGATCATGCAGCATTTGTCTTTTTCTGTCTGGCTTATTTCACTTAGCATAATGTCCCCTAGTTTCATCCACGTTGTTGCAAATGGCAAAATCTCTTTCCTTATTTATTTATTTATTTTGAGACGGAGTCTCCCTCTGTCACCCAGACTGGAGTGCAGTGGTGTGATCTCAGCTCACTGAAAGCTCCGCCTCCCTGGTTCATGCCATTCTCCTGCCTCAGCTTCCTTACTAGCTGGGACTACAGGTGCCCACCACCATGCCCAGCTAATTTTTTAAATTGTATTTTTAGTAGAGATGGGGTTTCACCCTGTTAGCCAGGATGGTCTCGATCTCCTGACCTTGTGATCCACCCACCTCGGCCTCCCAAAGTGCTGGGATTACAGACATGAGCCACTGCGCCTGGCTGAATCTCTTTCCTTTTTAAGACTGAATAATATTACACACACACACACACACACACACACACACACATACACACATATATATATCCCACAACTTCTTTATTCATTCATCTGTCCACAGACACTTAGGTTGTTTCCATATCTTTGCTACTGTGAATCATGCTACAGTGAACATGGGAGTGCAGATATCTTTACAAAGTGTTGATTTTATTTCTTTTGGGTATATATCTGGAATAGCGATTGCTAGGGCATATGGTAGTTCTATTTTTAATTTCTTTAGGAACCTCCATACTGTTTTTCTTAATGGCTACACCAATCTGCATTGCCACCAACAGTGCACAAAGGTTTTCTTTCTCTACACCTTGGCCAATACTTATTATATCATGTCCTTTTGTTAACAGCCATCTTAATGGGCATGAGATGATAGCTTATTGTGGTTTTGATTTGCATTTCCCTGTGAATTAGTGATGTTGAGCACCTTTTCATATTCTTGGCCATTTTTATGTCTTTGGGAAAATGTCCATTTTTTTTTTTTTTTGAGACAGAGTCTTGCTCTGTTGCCCAGACTGGAGTGCAGTGGCATGATCTTGGCTCACTGCAACCTCCGCCTCCTGGGTTCAAGTAATTCTCCTGCCTCAGCCCCCTTAGTAGCTGGGATTACAGACACACGCCACCATGCCTGGCTAATTTTTTTATTTTTAGTAGAGATGGGGTTTCACCATGTTGGCCAGGCTGGTCTTGAACTCCTGACCTTAGGTGATCCACCCTTCTTGGCCCCCCAAAGTGCTGGGATTACAGGCATGAGCCACCGTGCCAGGCTGCCTATTTTTTTTTTTTTTTTTTGAGACGGAGTCTCGCTCTGTGGCCCAGGCTGGAGTGCAGTGGTGCGATCTTGGCTCACTGCAACCTCTGCCTCCCGGGTTCACACTGTTCTCCTGCCTCAGTCTCCCGAGTAGCTGGGACTACAGGCGCCCGCCACCATGTCCAGCTAATTTTTTTATGTTTTTAGTAGAGATGGGATTTCACTGTGTTAGCCAGGATGGTGTCAATCTCCTGACCTTGTGATCCGCCTGCCTCGGCCTCCCAAAGTGCTGGGATTACAGGCGTGAGCCACTGCGCCCTGCCAGGGCTACCTACTTTTAAATCAGGTTATTTGCCTTTTTGCTGTTGAGTTGTGTCAGTTCCCTGTATATTTTGGAGATTAACCCTTTACCTGATAAATGGTTGGCAAATATTTTCTTCTAATTCGTAGGCTGCCTTTTCATTTTGTTTATTGTTTTCTTTGCTCTGCAGAAGCTTTTTAGTCAGATGTAGTTCTACTTCTTTTTCATTTTTTGTTTTGCTTTTCTTGCCTGTTATTTTGGTGTCATATCCAAAAAATAATTGCCAAGACCCACGTCAAGGAACTTTTCTCTTATTTTTTTTTTTCCTAGGAGTTTTATGGTATTGGGTCTTACATTTAGATCTTTGATCCATTTTGAGTTGATTTTTTTGTGTATGGTGTAATGTAAGTGTCCAGTTTCATTCTTTGGCATGTGGATTTCCAATTTTCCCAACACTATTTATTGAATAGACCATCCCTTCTCTATCATGTCTTCTTGGTGGCATTGCCAAAGATTAATTGACCATATATGCTTGGATTTATTTCTGGGCTCCTGATTCTGTTCCATTGGTCTATGTATATGTTTTTATGCCAGTACTATACTGTGGTTTTTTTGAGACAAGGTATTTGCTGGAGTGCAGTGGTGCTGTCTCAGCTCACTGCAGCCTTGACCTCCTGAGCTGAAACAATTCTCCCATCTCAGCCTCTCAAGTAGGCAGGACTACAGGTGCATACCACCACACCCAACTTATTTATTTATTTATTTTTGATATGGGGTTTAGCCATGTTGCTCAGGCTAGTCTGGAATTCCTGAACTCAAGCAATTCACCTGCCTTGGCCTCCCAAAGTGCTGGGATTACAAGTATGTGCCACCATACTGTTTTGATTACTGTTGCTTTGTAATACAATTTGAAATTAGGAATGTGATGCCTCCAACTTTGTTTTTTTTTTTTTTTTTTTTTTTTTTTTCCCTTAAGAATATTTTGACTATTCAGGGTGTTTTTTGGTTCCATATGAATTTAAGAATTATTTTATTTGTTCCTGTAAAAAAGTTCATTGGAATTTTGATAGAGATTATGTTGAATCTGTGTATTGTTTTAGGTAGTATGAACATTTTAGTGATATTAATTCTTATAATCCATGAATACACAATATTCTTTCATTTATTTATGCCTTCTTTAATTTCTTTCATTATTGTTTTATTTTCTGTGTATAGATTTTTCATCTCTTTGGCTAAATGTATTCGTAAGTATTCTTTGATGCTATTATAAATGGGATTGTTTTCTTGATTTCTCTATAGGATACATTGTTATTGTTGTAAAGAAATGCAACTGATTTTTATATGTTGACTTTGTATTCTGCAACTTTACTGAATTTGTTTATTAGTTCTGATTTTTTTTTTTTTTTAGTGGAAGCTTTAGGGTTTTCTACATATAGGAGCATGTCATCTGAAAACAGTGACGATTTAACTTCTTCCTTTCTGATTTGGAAGCTTTTAATTTCTTTTTCTTGAATAATTCTTGTGACTCAGACTTCCAGTTCAATGTTTAATAGAAGTGGTGAAAGTGGGCATCCTTGTCTTATTTCTGATCTTAGAGGAAAAGCCTTCAACTTTTTACCATTATGATTTTAATTGTGGGTTTGTCATATGTAGTGCAGGTTTTTTTGGCTAATATTATTTATTTGACTTATTGTTTTCCATATTTGACTTTCAAATATTTGCATTTCAACATTATTTACCCTTCTTTTCAACAATATGAAGATTTGAAGTGCATTAACTTTAATTACCCCCATCCAAACTTACATACTACAGTTATACAGTATTTTACTTCTAGACTATTTTCCCATTTATCATAATTATTTTTCATAGAATCCATGCTTCTTTGAATTTACTTACTTTGCTCATCATTTCTTCTTGCATCTCAGTCTTTCCATCTGTGGTCATTTTATTCTACTGAAGTATCCACCTTAGAATTTAATTTAGTAGGAACGTTTTGGTGATACATTGTTACTTTTGTCTCTGTTGGTTTTTGTGGGTTTTTTGATCTTTTTCTTTGGAAGTTACTTTTTCTGGTTATATAATTCTAGGTAGAAAATTATTTTCTTTCAGCTTATTGATGGTATTTTTTCTATTATCTTCTCACTTCCATGGTTGCTACAAGGTACCAGCAGTCAGTCTAGTTGCTATTCATTTGTCGATGATCTCTTTGGCTTCCTTTTAAGGCCTCTTTGTATCTAATGCTCTGAAATTTTACCATAATAAGTCTGGGTATTGATTCTGGGGTACGTTTGTTGGTCTTCCTACACCTGCTTATTGATGTATTTCAATAATTCTGGAAAATTATCAGCTGTTATCCACAGAACATATCCTATTTCCTATTGTCTTATTCTAGAATTTAATTAGACAGAGGGTAGGTCTTTCTAATTTTTAAATGTTTGTTAATTATAAATCTTGATTTTTTTGTGTTCTTGCCAAATCTGTTGTGTTTTTGCAAATAGTTTTAGAGCAATATCAGTGTTATAATTTTTTGCTTCAGCCATCGAACATAATTTAGGATACTCAAGAGGAAAAGGAGGGCCTATTGTATTTACCCATAATTTGGCTTACAATGTTAGTTTTCTCCTGCCTCATGTTTTAAGGTTTATCTTCTATTGTTTCCTTTCTGTTTAGGGATCTTCGCTTAGCCATTCTTTTAGGGTAGGTGTGCTAGTGATAGATTCTCTTGGTCTTCCTTCATCTGAGAATGCTTTATGTATAATTACCAAGGTTTTTACTTGCACTTAGTGGGAAGAATAGAGAAAAGTATGCCTACTTCATCTCCCCAGAAGCAGAACTCTCCTACCTTCTAATGCTGTTTGTTTTTTAACATCAGAATTTTTAGTTTCTTTTTTTTTATTGGAAGGATTTGTCTAGATAACTATTCCATTATTTAAAGGGACTAGAAGTGCCGTGTTTTCTTGCATTTTGTTATTGTGACCATGAACTGCTCCTTTTTACTAGAAATGTATTTATGCAGATTATTTGAGGTCTAGGTTAAAGTTGAGTATTTTCGGCCAGTCACTTTTAAACACTATCCATCAATGTCCACCTTAAATTAAATTTTCCTTTTTAGGGTTTTCAGACTACATAGATAACAGAAACTCAGGTCCACATGAAGCCCAACTTATAGTTATGAATTATCAGGGGATTATTTTAATTTACTCCTTCCAACACTGGGGTTGAGATAGTAAATTTCCTTGCTATTCCTTTCTTTTCAGTGGGGCTTCACTGTGGGTAAAGTTCTTTGGAGTCTCAGCTTTTTGGGGGAATCTCATTTTTATTCCCCACCTGGGTATGTTTTGGGCTTTACTTTCTGCCACCTGTACGTGGTGTAGTCATTAAAATAGAAACTCAAGGATTCTGGATTTTGGCAAAATTCTCCATGATAGATGCTTGCTTTGGTGCTTCTAGAGTTCTGTGTCTTACTTCACTTGGGAGATTGGCATATACTTACTTTTACGCAAGTTAATATACAAAATATATTTTAAAACATTTATTATTCAGTATTTGAGTCATTTTATGTAGGTGGGTTTGTCAGGGAATCTAATTTACTGTACTCCTGGAAAAAGAATTACTCATAATATATTATTTTCTTCTATAAACTTTTATCTTCTTAGCATATGTGTCTTAGCTGAATATGTTGCAGTCTTAAAGTATTTAATGATTACCCCATTTCTTATCATTACTTGGCGACTTTTTTCCAAATAGTTTAAATTTTCTACTTCTTGTTTATTATCAGTTTTCTTTCTCCCTCTTAACCCTATAGTATAAAACAGGCTATGTAAAATGATCTTCTGAAAAGCTGTTCAGTCAGGCCGGTATGATTAGATGTCATGAAAGTGATGTGGCATGATTTTCTGGCTACATAATCATCTCAGGTTCCTTGCTTCTGGATTGAAATTTAGGAGAGGGAACCTGGAGATCAGAAATGATTTATTGTCTTATTTACACATAAAGTGAACAGGAGAAATCATTCTATATCTAGCTAGAAATGTTCATAAGAGATATTATCTCTCAAAAAGCAATTGGGGATATGGGGATTAGAAATGGCAACAGAATTGCTATAGACATGATGTTCTATCCAAATTAATAAAATTCAAGGAAATAATTATGTTAGAGTGGAAGAGGGTTGCCTTTTCCTAGATCTCTGGAGCTTTAGTCTGAGATGAGGCTCAGGAGACAACTCAGGAAGGTACACATGCACCCATGTACACACATGTGCACACACACTTGCATACCTACAAAAGACACACGCATTGTAAATACACATATATAATTAAGTAGTTACAGAACAGGGGAAATTCTGGCAAGTGAGTCACTGGGTTTTGTTTTATCCCCTTCCTGATAATCCTCAAAGTAATATATGTTCATTAGAAAAACATTGAAAAGTCCAGAAAAATCACCCATGATGCTACTTCCTAATAAAAACAATGGCAATATTTTGGCATATTTCTTTTGCACTTATTAAATATGGTTCAGCTTGTATGAATAATTACACTCAGTTCTGCTTTCTTCCTCTACTTGCCATTCTATATTAGGTATATCCCCATGTTTCTAAATAGTATTTTAATCATGGCAAAATATTCTTTCATGTGGGTAGTTCACAATTTTGCTAAGGCCCTCTTATTAGAGATTGAAGTTGTTAAAATTTCTCCAATAATAAATTGAGTCACTATTGCCCTTTGTCTTGGCCCTAGAAAAGTAATTTTTAAAAATGGTGAAATCTCTGAGAGATCCAAGTTCAGCCATCGACCTATGACCTAGGAGTTCTTCGTGGGAGCTTCTGCATCTCCAACTCCTACCCTTGTCTTGGCCATGGCAAACTTTTCAAAGGATTTCTCCCAACCACATATGATACATGTTCCCCTTGAGAGGATTCTGGTAAATTTTTTTTAAAAATCCCCATCTCACTATATTTCAAGTGCTATTTTAGCCCCCTGTTGTATATTTGATACGTTAGTGCCTGGGCACTAATTGGTACCTTGTGAAAGGACGAAATTATTCTGGGTTTGCACTGCAGGTAAGCATTTCAGACAAGGGTATTAAGCCCTTGAAATGTGGCTAGTTCAAATTGACATTCTGTAAGTGTAAACTACACAATGAATTACAAAGACTTTGTACAATAAAATTATGTAAGTTGTCTTATAAATAATATTCTTCATATTGATTACATGTTGAAATGATAATATTTTTGATATTTTGGCTTAAATATTTTATTAGAATTAATTGCATTCATTTCTTTTTACATTTTTTAATGTTACTATGAGAAAATTTAATAAACTGAATCCCTTCCTTACACCTTATACAAAATTAATTCAAGATGGATTAAAGACTTACATGTTAGACCTAAAACCATAAAAACCCTAGAAGAAAACCTAGGCAATACCATTCAGGACATAGGCATGGGCAAGGACTTCATGTCTAAAACACCAAAAGCAATGGCAACAAAAGCCAAAATTGACAAATGGGATCTAATTAAACTAAAGAGCTTCTGCACAGCAAAAGAAACTACCATCAGAGTGAACAGGCAACCTACAGAATGGGAGAAAATTTTCGCAATCTACTCATCTGACAAAGGGCTAATATCCAGAATCTACAAAGAACTCAAACAAGTTTACAAGAAAAAAACAACCCCATCAAAAAGTGGGCAAAGGATATGAACAGACACTTCTCAAAAGAAGACATTTATGCAGCCAGAAAACACATGAAAAAATGCCCATCATCACTGGCCATCAGAGAAATGCAAATCAAACCCACAATGAGATACCATCTCACACCAGTTAGAATGGTGATCATTAAAAAGTCAGGAAACAACAGGTGCTGGAGAGGATGTGGAGAAATAGGAACACTTTTACACTGTTGGTGGGACTGTAAACTAGTTCAACCCTTGTGGAAGTCAGTGTGGCGATTCCTCAGGGATCTAGAACTAGAAATACCATTTGACCCAGCCATCCTATTACTGGGTATATACGCAAAGGACTATAAATCATGCTGCTATAAAGACACATGCACACGTATGTTTAGAGTGGCACTATTCACAATAGCAAAGACTTGGAAACAACCTAAATGTCCAACAACGATAGACTGGATTAAGAAAATGTGGCACATATACACCATGGAATACTATGCAGCCATAAAAAATGATGAGTTCATGTGCTTTGTAGGGACATGGATGAAACTGGAAACCATCATTCTTGGCAAACTATTGCAAGGACAAAAAACCAAACACCGCATGTTCTCACTCACAGGTGGGAATTGAACAGTGAGAACACATGGACACAGGAAGGGGAACATCACACACCGGGGACTGTTGTGGGGTGGGGGAAGGGGGAAGGAGATATACCTAATGCTAAATGATGAGTTAATGGGTGCAGCACACCAACATGGCACATGTATACATATGTAACCTGCACATTGTGCACATGTACCCTAAAACTTAAAGTATAATAATAATAAAATTTAAAAAAGAGATAAAATAAAATAAAATGACGTGTGTGGCTTGCATTTGTGGCTGGTACTGTATTTCTGTTGGACAGGCTGATTTAGGACATAGAGTTGGAGTCTCATCCCATGGCTGAACCTTAAAGCAGAAAGCCAACCACATGGTCCATGCCGCATACCACTGTTTCCTTCCTGGAAAGGACACCCACTCTCTGCTTCCTGCTTAAACCTGCAAAATCCTGCATAAAGGAAAAAAACATGTTAGCAGGCTTCTTCCTGGCCCACCCTCTCTCAACATTCAACCCCACCATGGTGCACGAATGTGAAAACAGAGAATTAGGTGCACGTGGAAGCAGAGAATTAGGTGATGGTAAGAGACATAACTAATTGTTGTGTCTGTTCTGCATTAAGTTGGATGAGTGACACATGTTCCCCAGTGGAACAGATCTAGCAGTAAAGTGCTCACCGAAAGCTCTGTGGCTTTGGGCTTTGACTACAGCTTTGAGCCATTTTCTTCTCCTCCATCTGATTTCAATCACTCCTTTTGCAAAAGCCCCAAAGCTACCTTGTGCCTGCTTTCGGAGATTCAGAACTGGGACCCCACAGACCTTATTGCCATTTCAGCTGCCAGGAAGATTAACAGTGGTGCCTAGCAGAGCTCCTGGCTTTCAGCAGCTAGATGAGAAGGCTAAAGCTGGCACATCTGGATTCAACAGGAACCTGAGATAACAGAGCCAGTTTGTTTAGATTCCACAGTTTTCCAGGCTTGCCAGGACACTCCAGCCTCCCAGACAACTCAAGGACTTGGCCAAAAAAAGTTCCGTGAATAAGTGATAGTTGACACACCATCCTAAACTCAGCCACAGCAATGTCTGTGCTCAGGCCCTCACCGGGAGTGGCCCAGAAACAGCACAGAGCCCCTTGGCTGGGAGCTTGCCCTGGGTGCAGCTAGCTGCACGTGGCTCCTGGTTTCTGCTTTGTGAGGATTCCAAGGGCAGCTGAGGCTACTCGTTGCCCTAACTCACTTGCAAAGCTGGTCAAGCTCCCATCTAAGCAAAGGTTTTTCCTGCTTTTGATTACTTTTGCAGGGAGCCTCTGAGGGTGCACAGAGTCATATTTCCTGCCATGTTTGTTTAGTCTCTTTTTCCACTGGCTCTTTCCCTTTCAGGCCGGTAGAGGCAGAGTCTTTCTTGTGGCTTGATGCCAGTTGAAACTCTTCCAGATGTGGCTGAAGGAGCCTGGCAGTTTCCCTTCTGAAGCTAGAATCTTCAGTCTAATTCCTAGGAGATGCAGTCTGGGAGAAGAGACAGATGCTTGCGTATTCCCCACTCCTGTGTAGAACACATATTTGAGTACCTTTTTGCTGTACACTAAGCTCTGTGCTAGCCTCTGAGAACTCAGATGAATCAGGTATAAATTCAGCCTTGTTGACTTTTACGGCCTATGAAAAGCGATGAGCGTCATCACAGAGGTACACACGGGAACTAGGATTTCAGTAGAGACACAGGTAGGTTTGAGAGCACAGAAATGGGAGAAAACATCATGGACATTTCATGAAAGTGACATGAGAGCTGGCATCGAAGGATACGTATGACTTGACTCTAGTACAGGGTTTCTCAGTCTCAGCACTACTGACTGGGGACCAGATCACTGTTTTACTGTGGGGCTGCCCATACGTCGCAGACTCGGGACCAGATCACTGTTTTACTGTGGGGCTGCCCATACGTCGCAGACTCGGGACCAGATCACTGTTTTACTGTGGGGCTGCCCATACGTCGCAGACTCGGGACCAGATCACTGTTTTACTGTGGGGCTGCCCATACGTCGCAGACTCGGGACCAGATCACTGTTTTACTGTGGGGCTGCCCATACGTCGCAGACTCGGGACCAGATCACTGTTTTACTGTGGGGCTGCCCATACGTCGCAGACTCGGGACCAGATCACTGTTTTACTGTGGGGCTGCCCATACGTCGCAGACTGGGGCCAGATCACTGTTTTACTGTGGGGCTGCCCATGCGTCGCAGACTCGGGGCCAGATCACTGTTTTACTGTGGGGCTGCCCATGCGTCGCAGACTCGGGGCCAGATCACTGTTTTACTGTGGGGCTGCCCATGCGTCGCAGACTCGGGGCCAGATCACTGTTTTACTGTGGGGTTGCCCATACGTCGCAGGATGTTCAGCAGCATCCCTGGCTTACTACCCACCAGCATGCCAATAGGACCCCGTCCAGCTGTGACAACCAAAAATGTCTCCAGGCAAAATCACCCTGATTGAGAGCCACTGCTAGTAAGAAATCAACAAAAGAACATTCTGGAAAGAGGACACAAGCAAAGGACAGGTCCTACATGAACATAGCAGGTAACTCAGTTTGCCTAGAATGCAGGGTATGAAGAAGACTGAGGCAAAACAGGAGGAGGTTAGAACACCAGCTCCTCAGGTGGGGACTCAGTGTGTGCGTGTATGTTTTGTTCCACGAGGTATCCCAAGCACTTGGAATGGAGTCTCTCACGCAGTAGGAGCTTAGTAGTATGTGTTGAGTGGAGGAAAGTCTGGGATCACTTTATGGCAGCATAAAAACACAGAAGAAAGGCAGGATGTGGGAAGGAATTGAATGATTGACATTTTGGAGGTGTTGACTTTGAGATCTATAGACAAGCAGGCGGAGGTATACTGCAGATAGTTGGGATGCAGTGGTTGAGCTTAGGAGAAAGTCAAGAAGTAAGAAATGTGGGCCAGGCATGGTGGGTCCAGCCTATAATCCCAAAACTTTGGGAGGCCGAGGCGGGAGGATCACTACAGGTCAGGATTTTGAGACCAGCCTGGCTAACATGGTGAAACCCCTCTCTACTACAAATACAAACATTAGCTGGGCATGGTGGTGGGCATCGGTAATCCCAGCTACTCAGGAGGCTGAGGCAGGGGAATCACTTGAACCTCAGGAGGAGGAGGTTGCGGTGAGCCGAGATCACACCACTGACCTCCAGCCTGGGCAACAGAGTGAAACTCTATCTCAGAAAAAAAGAAAGGAAGTGAGAAATGTGGACATTGTCTGCACACAATCCCAGTTGGATGAGACTGGCAAGTTTCGGACTATACAAGTCGAAATTCCTGATGACACCCACATCCGTCAGTGTGTAGCACAGATCAGTGCTTTCACACTGACCTTTTTTTTAAGCGTTATTGAGGTATGATTGATATACAAAAATTGTACGCATTTGCTACATGTATCTTGATGAGTTTGGATATATGCATATGCCTGTGATGCCATCACCACAACCAAGTTACTAGACATACCCATCAAGATGGTTGTTCATTATTATTCATTCTCACCTTTTTCCATGACAAAACCCACATTTTTAGTTAAGCACAGAATTATCTGAAATAAAAACTATATATTCCACTTTCCTTTATCACTAGATGTAACCATGGGACTAAGTTTTGGCCAAGAGATTTAAGAATATACAATTATGATATACCAATTAAAAACAGATATATTTTTAAAAAGAGTGAGTGTCACGTAATCACTTCCAGGAACCTGTCCTAATAGACACTTGACGTCTTTTGTCCCCTTTTTATTTGTCCCAAGTTTCATCCTGCTTCCTAGAATCCTGATGTGAAGGGCTGGAGTTCTAGCAGTCTTCTTGGACCAGGAGGATGAGTGTTCCACCTTAAGATGGAGCAGTAGAGGCTGGCACGGGGCCAGGCCTCTAGATGATTTGGGGAATCCGCTATACCTGCCCTGGATTGCCAATCCCCAGGCTTTTACGTGAGGGAGAGATGGATTTCCATCTTGTGTAAGCCGCTGCTACTGTGGGCCTCTGCTTCTGGCCAAACCTGATCTCAACTGATAGCATGGAAAACAGCAGATGGAGAAGTTGCCAGAGAGTTTGAACAGAGGAAAGACGGTGTCATGGAGACAAAGAAGGGCAGAATTTCAGAAAGGAGGTGACCTACAATGTGAAAGACGATGAGATCTGAGGACAAAGATTAAACAGCCTGTAGGTGGATTCAAGCAAGCACTGTCTCATGTTAACTGTAAAGCAAACTGTAGGAAGACCCATTGCAGCACCTGCAAATACCCAAGGGCTGCCAACGTAGCTACATCCTGGGATGTGGGAGGTGCCTCTATATTATGAAGAGAAAAAAATACTGTAGACTCACTTCAGGCTGAATAGACTGTCTCAGCCTTCAGGGAATTAGAGACGCACAGTCATGGTAGTTTCTAAGGTCATCAAGATAACTAAAGAAGGTATCCAGGCATAGAGAGTAAGGAATGAGTGACGAAGCAAATGCTTTTCCTCCTACTCTCTTCACTGGGCTAATAATTCTCACTGGCCCTTCAGATTTCAGCCTCAATGTCACCTCCTCCAATAGGCATTTCCTGGCCTTTCCTGTTGTAGTCTCTGATAGCTCCCAAAACTTTTCCTCCATATTTCTTTCCAACTTTTATCTACGCATTAATTTGTTTAATATCTATCTTGTTCAATGGTTTGCAAGTTGCATGAAGCTTTGGATCTTGCCTGGTCCGTTTCATTGCTGTATCTCCAAGGCCTAGCCCCTTGCCTGGCAAAATAACAGGAGCTCAATTAAACACACGAATGAAGTTTCTCCTTACAGTTCTAGCACAATCTTTTTGATGTTCTGCTTAGTTTGCTCCTTGTGTGAGAGGGAGAGACTTTCTGATGCTGTTCCTGGCTTCTCAGTGTTTTCATCTAAAAAGTAATGATGAAGAGGAGAGATCAGAAGGTGGAATTTCTACATAATATCTATCTGGTTGGGTGAACTGTGTCTTACTTAATTCCTCATTCACTCATGGAGGGCACAAGGGAACCAATTATTTTACAAGACTGTGGGTTCCCAAGGGTCTCTCAGAGCCTGGAGGAGTGCACGAGGCTTCTGAAGTTCCCCTGAGCATTTCTCAGGGTAAAGGCATTCTAATAGGTACCTGTTAGAAGACTATTTCTGATACAGAGAAAGGGCAGCATTCCAACCTTTCCCCACTGTACCTCCTCTCTGGCCTAACCCCTCATTTTCTTACCCTAGTTCTCTGCCCCCAGTGAGAGCCATTGCTCTTCCCCAACATACCTCAGGCACCGCCCTCTATGCCTCAGCTCAGGTGGTTTCTCCTCCTGGATGTCCTCTGTCCCTGCCTCTCAAACACCATCCACTCTCAGAGCCCATGCCAAATTCCATCCTCTCTAGGAAGTCTTCCTGGATCACCCAGCAGGCACTTGTTTTTCTCCCACAATGCCTATTGTTTCATCTTCCTTTGAACATCAGCACATTCTGTCTTGTGGTGTTACTATTATTTTTAGATGGGTATTCAGTTTCCTGAAAGGATGCTGCCTTGGGCTTCCGTATAGCCCCTGGCTAGCTAGCAGACTGCCCTGAACAGAGAAGACATCACTAGATAGCAGTTGGTTGACTGATTGCAGCATCCTGCTCCTTAACTATGCTTTCCTTTCACTGAAGTGGAGAACACACACACACACACACACACACACACACACACACACACACACACACACACACCAGCTACAACCAATGCAGCCCCTGGTTTCATATTTTCATGAGGGGACTTTACAACTTCTCATCTTGAACTGTCAGGCAGACATTCTACAAGATGCTGAGAATGTAATTTATTTTCCTGTCTCAAACAAAATCTGCTGTGGATAGTAACTTATAAACTGTAATAGATGATTATAAGTGAGATTCATGTAATTGTTTCACAGCAAGCTTTAAATAAACACATAAATTTCAGTGTCCCTGTTTATTGGATTTCCTCACATGTTGGAATTGATCTGAGATCTTATTGAAGTGTAAACTATAAACCAGCCTCTGAGGCTGTTAAATCCAGAAAGGTAGGACTACAGATAATAGAATAGTCAGTCCCTATTTGGCAGGATGGAGCACGCCTATTTGGCAGGATGGTTAGCAAATTACATTTTGTCAGCCAAAGAATGACAGCTTCATTCTCAGTAAGCTGCTGGGCTGCCCCTCAGCGGCCCCTCCTTGTCTATCTCTATTGTCAAAGGCTTTGGCTGACAACCGGGGTCAAAACATCCACCTGTGACACAACTAAGATTTTTTTTCTTCTTCTTCTTTTTTTTGGCAGAGTTTTGCCCAGGCTGGAGTACAGTGGTGCAGTCTCGGCTCACTGCAACCTCTGCCTCCCGGGTTCAAGTGATTCTCCTGTCTTAGCCTCCTGAGTAGCTGGGATTACAGGTGCCCACCACCACACGAATTTTTGTATTTTTAGTAGAGACGGGGTTTCACCATGTTGGCCAGGTTGTTTTCGAACTCCTGACCTCAGATGATCCCCCTGCCTCGGCTGCCCAAAGTGCTGGGATTACAGGCATGAACCACTGCACCCAGGCTAAGATTTTCATTATCAAAAGCTCCTTTCGCAGTCATTTATCAGGTCAGCCCTAATGTCCTGTTTCAGTTGCATGAGGGCTTATTCGAAGTAACTTGGCCAGTCCCTTAGGTATAGGCCCAGCTCATTCACAGGTTGGAGTGGAGGCACATTTAGCAATGGTAGGGGTGATACAGAAAAGACAGTTGTAATGAAGGTCTTGGGACACACCTTAATACTGTCACCAAATGTCCCCAGGGCATCAACTTGCACTAGCATGCCCACCATGGGTGCACAGTCAGTGTCTCACGAGGCATGCCTCTCCTCTCTAGACTGCAAGCTCATGTCTGGACTTGGCTAAACCTCTTTCTTCCATGTTTCAAAGTGTTACGTTCATTTTATGTGTGTTATAAAATATTATGAACTGATAAGCCTATGTTGCTATTGAAACCTTTCTTGCTAAAGCAGGCTGCGTCAGAATTACTGATGACTTCCAAGGGACAAATAAAAGGACCAACTTCAGTGGCAACTTCACAGAGCAAACTGCCCAGGTTAAAAGAAAGGGAAATGACTTCCTTCTGCTAGGAAGAACTAACGCAGAAATTACTGATTTCCCAGCAGCAAGTTATCTAAGTAGATAGTAGGATTGTATGTTCCTTTTTAATTTGCATATAAAAAATTTCAAGAATACTTGCTTCTCAAAGAGATGATGGGGTCATTCTAAGAAAGCAACATAATGCCCTCATTTGGAAGTAGTTGGAGGACCATACTTGCTAAAAGAGTTCTAAGCCTGGAAGAAAGCTGTTTTGCAAGGGGTTTTGCCACCAAAAGCCATGGGAAGGTCCAACAGAAAGAAAAACTTGATATGCTTTATTTTTTAAATTTTATTTATTTATTTCTGAGAGTCTGGCTCTGTCACCCAGGCTGGAGTGCAGTGGCGCGATCTCAGCTCACTGCAGCCTCTGCCTCCTGGGTTCAAGCAATCCTCCTGCCTCAGTCTCCCAAGTAGCTGGGATTACTTGATATGTTTTAGAATGAAGCTGTGCGTCCTCTTCAAATCAACAAGAGATATATGACGCTGTAATTGACAGTGGTTAGTGATTTTCATGTTTTCCTGTGATTTCTAAACATCCTATAACTGAACCATGGCTGTTACAAGCATGGATTCTGAAGCCAGCTAGGACTGTCTGGGTTTAACTCCTGGCTCTGATATTTACTGACTTAACTTTTCTGTGCCTCAGTTTCCTCATCTGAAAAATGGGGATACTTATAATACCTACTTAATAAAGTTTTAAGGAGTGAGGACTAAGCTCTGATTTTTTTTGTCTTGCCCAAATTCCTATCTAAGGGTTCTAGGGAGTCATACTCTACAAACCATAAATTCTCATCAGATGGATTTTATTTAACCCTGTATATCATGACTTACTTTCCAATCTGACTCTGGTATAACGAGGAAGAAAATAAAATGTTTTACCCTAAAACATGTTTCTCTGCCATATCTTGAAATTGCCCTGCAAAGTCTCTTGTGGGAAAAATCCACATTCTGTAGAGAATTCCCTTTCCCCCTTGTTTTCCTTCCTTCCTTTCCAGATCCAGGAGATAATCAACTAAGAGCCAGGCACCCTTTGAAGTCTGATAAGAAACATTTTACAACCTGCTCTCTCTAAAGTCTGCTGAGTATTTCTTAAATGTATTTGATTGATGTCTCGTGCCTCCCAAAAATATGTAAAACCAAGCTGTATCCCAACCTCCTTGGGTACATGTTTTCAGGACCTCCTGAGGGCTGTGTCATGGGCTGTGGTCACTCATATTTGGCTCAGAATAAATCTCTTAAAATATTTTTACAGAGTTTGACTTTTTGTCAACAGGAGGATGAATAGGTTAATAAATGGAAAACTCTTAGAACAAGGCCTGGCACATACTGAGCACTGTACAAATGTCTGTTGCTGCTACTACTATTATTGGGGGTATGGAGAGGGGAGGACTTTTTAAGAATTATGATTCAGAATTATTGAGAAAAGCAATTTAAAGAGCATGCACCCTTAATTTAGACACACCAGGTTTTAAGTTCATGCACCGTTATTAGCTGTGTGAACATAAGCAAGAAATGTATGTCTATAAGAATCAGTGACTTTGTCTATAAAATGGGTTGATGTTAGTATACACTCTGTAGGGTTGTAAGGGTTAAATAAGTGAATGCTTGAAAAGTACTTAGCATAATGTTGGCACATAGTAAATATTCCAAAATATTAACTATGTTTCTTATATCATTACCTCAGTGCTTTACCTTCTTTAAAGAATAATTTCAGTGGTGTGTTATCAGTTTAAATTTAGTGATTTTAGTTCTTTTGAATACTTATGCTTGTCTGTCTTAATAAAGTATTATCTTCATAACATAGAATGAAACGTATAATTGAGCAGGAAAATGTGATACTGTCTTTTTTTCTCACTTTAACGTACTTAGAGGACATCTAATAATTCAGATCATAGGCCATTCCCAAGGCCCTATATTTTACCTGTTGGCAACCACCCTGATTGCAGGCAGAGAACCAAAGGGAAAATACGCATCTCTAAAGAGCCAGCCTCAGAAACCTAACCCATAAGATGGTGGCAAATGCCACATGTGATTAAGTGAAACAATGAATTTATGGAAACTCAGATATTTCAGAGAAAGCCATGATTTTTCTTTGGAAATATGGGAAATAATCTTTTTCCAAACTATGTTTTGGAAAAACTCTAAAGAAATACAAAATCAAGGAATGATCTTACATTTTTATTTCATAAAATGACATATTGGAAGTAAATATCTAGAACCATGGCAGCATTTGGTCCTCTAAACCAGGGGTCCCCAACCCCTGGGCCATAGACTGGTACCGATCTCTGGCCTGTTGGGAACCAGGCCGCACAGCAGGAAGTGAGCATTGGGCGAGTGAGTAGTGTCACCTGAGCTCCGCCTCCTGTCAGATCAGTGGCAGCATTAGAGTCTCATAGGTGTGCAAACTTTATTGTGAAATGCGAATGTGAGGGATCTAAGTTGCACACTCCTTATGAGCTCCTTATAAGAATCGAATTCTCCCACCTCATCTGCAGCTACTCCCCGCCCCCTGTGGAAAAATTGTCTTCCACAATACCGGTCCCTGGTGCCAAAACGGTTGGGGATTCGCTCTGAACAAAGCAGCACTGAATGAGTGGCATAGAGATGGTGGACTGTCCTGGGAAAGAGACAAGTCAGGGATTGCAGGCTGTGTGTGCCACTCACTGTGGGCTTCCTCAAGGAACAGATCTGAATTAGGATGAGATACTGCTAAAGTTAGAAGGGCTAACCATCAGAACCTCAGGGGGAAAATTAAACAGTTGTATAGATTGGGGGTTAGCAAACTACAGCCTGTAGGCCAACTCCAGCTGCCCACCACCTGTTTTTGTACATAAAGTTTTGTTGGAACACAGCCATGTCCGTTTATTAATGAATTGTCTGTAGCTACAACAGCAGAGTTGAGTGGTTGTATCAGAGACTGTAGGACCTATAAAGCCTAAAATATTTGCTATCCAGCCCTTGACAGAAGACCTTTGCCTGCTTCAGTTAACCAATTTGGTTCATCTAAAGAGCCATAAAAAATATTAAAAAGCAAACGATAAAATGAAGAAAATATTTACAACATATGTAATAAATCATGGGTTAATTGCTTTAAAATAGCTATATAACAGTAATAAAAAATACAAAATATATTGCTTTCTAAATCAACAAGCAAAACATGAATAGCACCAACAGAGAAATGGATAAAGGCCATAAATAGAGTTCTCCAGAAGAAGATAACTAATAGGATATATGTATATATGAAAGTGAGTTTGTTAGGGAGAATGGGCTCATATAATCACAAGGCGAAGTCCCACAATAGGCCATCTGCAAGCTGGGGAAGAAAGCAGCCAGTAGCGGCTTAGTCCGAGTCCAAAAGCCTCAAAAGCAGGGAAGCTGACAGTGCAGCCTTCAGTTTGCAGCCAAAGGCCCAAAAGCCCCCAGCCAACCACTAGTGTAAGTCCCAGAGTCCAAAGGCCGAAGAACCTGGAATCTGATGTCCAAGCAGGAGGAACAGGAGGAAGCATCCAGCACAGGAGAAAGATGAAAGCCAGAAGACTCTGCAAGCCAGCTTACCCCACCTTCTTCCGTCTGTTTTGTTCTAGCCACACTGGCAGCTGATTTGATGGTGCCCACCTACATTGAGGGTGGGTCTTCCTCTCCCAGTCCACTGACTCAAAAGTCAATCTCCTCTGGCAACACCTTCACAGACACACCCAAAAACAATGCTTTGCCAGCCATCTAGGCATCCTTCAATCCAATCAAGTTGACATCTAATATTAACCATCACATAGCCCATTCACTAATGAAGAACTGACTGGCCTATAAGCCTAGGAAACACTGATAACACCACTAGTAATCAAGGAAACACAAATTAAACCAATAAAAATATTTTTTCCAGGAAAATGGCAACAACTTTTCTTCTTTTATTTTCTTCTTTTTTATTTTATTTTTTACTTGATACTCCAGGTTGATGAAGTTATGGGGAGAAAGAAAGAACTCTCATATGTTCAAGTGTAAAAAGGGCAAATTTTCAGGAAGACATTTGGCAATATGCACCAAAAATCTTTAAAGTTGTGCTTTCCCTTTGATGTAAAAAAATCACTTCTGGGAATTTTTCTTAGGAAGTAATTGGACATGGCATAAAGATATGGATACATAGATATTCATGGCAGCAAATTTGGAAACACTTTAGCTGTGAATAAAACAAGATTGGTTAAATGAAGTAGAGTATATACAACATAGTATTATGCAGGCATTAAAATCATGAAATAATGTATGTTTATTGACATGGAAAGAGGTTCCCAATTTAAAAATAATATTAATGTACATCACAGCCAACTGGAAGGACAGAAGCTCTAGCCTGGGGCTTACAGAATGAGTAATGCGAGTCTCCATAACAAAAACATTGCCGAAAACGTCAACCCCCCAGCTGTCAAACTGGAAGTAACCTTGTAAAGTCCAGATCCCTCATTCTGTATATGCTGAAGTCCAAGTCCCAGAAAGGAAGTGAATTGACCAAAGTCACATAGCCAATTAAGCTGAGAGTTGTACATAACAGGAACCTCATTGTAATGGCTTAAGCAAATAGGGATTAATTTGTTCAAAAGCACCAAAAAGTCCATAGACTGGCAGTACAAGGCTAATACAGCTGCCCTGTGATGCCATCAGGGACCCAGACCCGTCCTGCTTCCCATTCCTACCCGTGCGACTTTGGTTCTGCTGGTGAGATGGCTGTGTTTTGCTGAGAAAAATTGTTCTCCATGGCCCCATCACAACCTGGATGGGGACATCTGGATGCTTCCTGGGAAATTTTATCATAATGCTATCCCATATCCCTACATGGTCTAAGTTTGTGCTCTGTACCTCTTTTCATCCCAGAGGAGTCATCATGATTTGCTTTCAGTAAGTTATTGGATACACGGTTCCTCTCTGCTCTGTTGTAAGCTCTTGGAAAATACAGAACATGTGTTATTTATTTCCTGGATTTCTTTGCAGTTTAGACAGTGGTTTAAATGTAGTAGGTTTTCAAGTTCTTCTGGAATATTTGTTGTTTCTGTGTTTGGTTGGTTAGTTTAGTTTTCCCCATTCATGTGAGCTTAGCATGGTGCACCATCTCTGAAGCCTGGGTTTGAACTCAGTTCTGCTATTTACTAGCTAAGCAATACTGAAAAATTTAGTTAACCTCTCTGTGCCTCAGTTCCTCATTTCAATAATGGAGATAAAGATAGTACCTGGGTGTTGTGAAAATTGAGTGAGTTTGTATTTGTAAAACACTTATACCAGGGTTTCGGCACATATTAATAGTAAGAACTGTATAGGTGCTTGTTAAAAAAAGAACTTTAGTTTAGGAAATCTCTGATGTGTATGTACATGGAGCAGCTTAGATGGACAAAAACCTCACACAAATGAACATGTGAGGATCCCAAATGCCAGTTTCCAAAGGTATTAGTGGGGAAATCATGCGGAGAAAAACAGATATTTTTGTGGCAATTCAAAACCAAAGCAGGAGAACTTAGAGTCCTAAGTGTAGGAAAAAGGAGAAAATGTATATTTAGGAACTCATTTGGGTTTAAGAACTCATTTTTTTAGAAACCAGTTGGAATGAACACCCAGGAAAAGTATCTGCCTCTCTTGGGAGGAGATGGTTAGTTCTGAAGCAAGGATTGCCCTGCGTTTTCAACAGTATCATGCATTTAAAATTGCAGTCACCTGCACATAACAGGAACCTCATTGTAATGGCTTAAGCAAATAGGGATTAATTTGTTCAAAAGCAACAAAAAGTCCATAGATGGGCAGTGCAAGGCTAATACAGCTGCCCCGTGATGCCATCAGGGACCCAGACCTGTTCTGCTCCACATTCCTACCTGTGCGACCTTGGTTCTGCTGGTGAGATGGCTGCTGTGCCTCCGGGCGTCATGTGTGCAGTTTAGCCAAGAAGAAAGAGAAAGGAGGAATGACAAAAGCAGTAATACCCACTGGGTCTTCCCCTTTTAAGAGCTTCCTCGAAAAGCCCGCCCAGGAACTTCTGAGTATATCTTATTGGCCAAAACTGGGGTCACATGACTATTCTTCTCTGTAAATAAGTTTGGGGAGGTAAACATTTTGGCTTGTCACATTGAGCCCCGTGAACTCAAGTCGTGTTAATAAGGAAGAAGAGGAGAGTGGTTATTGCCTAGGCAGCAAGCAATGGGGCCATATTGGAAGACTGTGAGCCCTTTAATAAGCAGCAGAGTAGAAAGTGGAGCCATTTGCTGAGACTGGAAAAACAGGTACAGAAACAGTTTCTTTGGGAGAAATTAGGAGTGCTGTTTGGATACGTTAAGTTTGAGGTGCTTATCAGACATCCAAAGGGAGACGTTGAGTCTTCTGTTGGATATAAAAGTTTAGAGCTCAGGGCTGGGGATTTAATTATGCTGTCATCAAACTATAGAGTGCTTCTATTTTTCCCATAAAGATGAGGTAAGTCCATGAGCTGAGAGTGGAGAGAGAAAAAGAGATTTGAGGAGAGAGAGAGTATACCATCATCCCCAAGGAGAGTGTGAAAGCAAACTCACTGGGTGGTAGGATTGCTGGGGAGCGTGGGTGTCCTTTTGATATTCATGGTTTTGAACTTGTGCAACCAGCCAGTCAAACTGTGTTGTTTTTCTTGAGCAGTGTTTGGTTGCTTGGATGAAATCACACAAAAGTAGATTTGCCCAGTCTTGACTTTTTCCTGCTGTATCTGAGGAAAACAGAAAAGGACAAGGGAATTGAGAGTGATTACAAGTTGATGATTATAATTTTATGATGAATATTACAAAAAGTTGTGGCTTATAGACTGCCAGTCTTGATAAGGTAAAAAATTATGTTTTGGGGCCTCTAGAACCAATATGTTTGAAAGATGAGAGGTGGTGATCAGATTATGGGATATTTGAAAAAGGGATTTCAGGCATGGCACAGTTATTAGTGAAGACAAGGTCTAGGGTGTGATCTTGCGAGAGGGTGACTGAGAGAGAGGAAGAAAAAGGTTGCTGCAGAGGGCATCAAACCTCTAAGGGCTAGGACATTCACAAGGATGGTGAAGTTTCCAAAATGAAGGAAGGACAAAGAGGGGAAGGGTCACCAGTGAGTCAGGAGTTAATGCCGTAGAATAATGGCCACAGGGATGGTGCAGGGGTTTGGAGGTGGTGACTAAGGAAAAAAAAAAAAAAAACGGCAGGTGGTGTATGCCAGTGGTGTGAGCTTCAAAAGAAGGTATAGTTGGTCCCCGAACAATGCAGAAGTTAGGAGCCCTGGCTCCCCTCGCAGTGGAAAATCTGCATATATATAATTTTGATTCCCCTAAAACTTAACTACTAATCGCTTACTGCTGACACAAAGCCTTACAAATAACATAAACAGACAATTAATGCATATTTTGTGTGTTATATTATTATGTACTGTATTCTTACAATAAATTAAGCTAGAGAAAATAAAGTGTTTTTAAGAAAAATCATAAAAAAGAGAAAATATATGTACTGTTCACTAAGTGGAAATGAATCATCATGAAGGTCTTTATCCTCATTGTCTTCACATTGATTAGGCTGAGGAAGAGAGGGAAGAGGAGGGGTTGATCTTGCTGTCTCAGGGATGACAAAGGTAGAAGAGGTGGAGGAGGTGGAAGGGGAAGCAGAAGAAGCAGGCACGCTTGGTGTAACTTTTATTGGAAAAAAATCCACGCATAAGTGGACCCAGGCTGTTCAAACCCATGTTGTTCAAGGGTCAACTGTAGCGTCACAAGAGAAGAGTCTGAAGATAGAATACTGTCTGCTAAATGTGGTAGATCAAGGCTCTAGGGAAGATGGACTGGATGAGGGGCGAGGATGGAGGGGTTGGTCTAGAAAAGGGAAACAGCACCCCATCCTCTGAGAATGGAGGAAGCAGAAGAGTAGGTGTTTAGGTTTTGGGCCTTCATAGGCTCAAGTGGGTGATGTTTGTCTCCTGCAAATGAGGAAGGTGGAGATGGTTGGGAGTAAGGACTTAAGGTTTGGGATAGACATTGACGAGAATGACAAAATATCTTTTCCTGATGACAAGTAGCAGGATTCTCAAACCCTCCTGAGGAAGACACTGATGAGTTTGCTGCAGCATCCAGTGGCTGCTGTGATAGTTCATCATATGGGTCAACTTGGCTGAGCCATGGGATGGTCGAATATTTGGTCAGACATCAGTCTGGGTGTTTGCAAGGGTGTTTCTGGAAGAAATTAGCATTGAATCAGCAGCATGAGTGAAGTAGATGGCCTTCCCCAATGAGGGGGGGCCTTGTCCCATCTGTCGAGGGTCTGAATAGAATAAAAGGGAGGAAGAAGTTTGAATTCTGTCTGACTGACAAGGATATTCTCCTGCTCTCAGCACTCCTGGTTCTCAGCCTTCAGCACAGGACTGGAATCTGCACCATCAGCTCTGTGGTTCTCAGGCCTTCTAGCTACACCACCAGCTGTCCTGGGTCTCTAGCATGCAGACTGCAAATCATGGGACTCCTCAGCCTCCATAATCACATGAGCCAATTCCTTATAATAAATCTTTCCCTAGATATACATCTATTTATATGTCCTATTAGTTTTGTTTCTCTGGAAAACCATGACTAATACAGATGCCATGGCTATAGGACTTTTCTGATGAAGCTCAGCTGTCAGATCCATTTAACCAGTCTCTACGAACTTCCAAAATTTCCCTCATTTTCCTGTGTTCTTCTAAGCCCTCTAAACTTTTTAAACCTCTGCCTGTTACCCAGTTCCAAAGCCACTTCCACATCTTCAGGTATCTTTATAACAATGCCCTGGTCCTCGATATCAACTTTCTGTATTAGTCCGTTTTTGTGTTGCTGTAAAGAAATACTTGATTTTGAGTAATTTACATAGAAAAAAAGTTTAATTTGTTTACAGTTCTGTAGGCTGTACAGGAAGCATGGTGCTGGCATCTGCTCAGCTTCCAGTGAGAACTCATGGAGCTTTTATTCATGGTAGAAAGCAAAGTGGGAGCCAGCATGTCACATGGTGAGAGAGAAAACAAGAGAGAGAGGAGGGAAGTGCTACACTCTTTTAACAATCAGATCTTGTGTGAACTCAAAGTAAGAATGCACTCATTATCATTAGGACAGCACCAAACCATTCATGAGGAATCCACCTCTGTGATTCAGACCCCTCCCACTAGGCCCACCTTCAACATTGGAGATCACATTTCAACATACGTTTTGGAGGGAGCACACATATAACCATATCACCATGGGAGTGCAACTGGTGGCTCTATGAGAAGAGGAAGAGAGACCTGAGCCAGCACACTCAGCCCCTTTACCATGTAACGCCCTGCACCACCTCAGGGCTCTGCAGAGTCTCCACCAGCCAGAAGGCCCTCACCAGATGTGATTCCTCGGCCTTGGGCTTCCCAGCCCCCAGAACTGTAAAAAATAAATATTATTTCTTTATAAATTACCCTGTTTCAGGTATTCTCTCATAAGGAACACAGAATGCACTAAGACACTTCCCAAAGCAAATGTGTTCTTACAAGGCTCATTATGCCCTCCAGGCCCCATAAACAGTGAGGCTGGCTTGTTTTGGTGTCCAGGGAATGGCTGAACCTTTGCTATTTTTGTTCATCTGGAATATCATTACACAATCCTTACAGAGGAGAGTATAGTTTTCATAACTGATACCTTATCTGTATCAATGTGGTTAGATGTATCTATTGAGCTGTTTATGCTCTTTATCACACAGCACCATTGTGCTAATGGAAGGATTTAAATCAACCCTGAAGGGAATGATTAAGGTTTACAACTAATTGTTATATCAATTGGGATAAGTTATGGCATGTTATTTGCATATGTAAAAGCCACCCTAGGAATACTTCAGCTTCTCCCTTTTTGAATTAATCTTTG
Source organism: Homo sapiens (assembly GCF_000001405.40). Classification (NCBI taxonomy): domain Eukaryota; kingdom Metazoa; phylum Chordata; class Mammalia; order Primates; family Hominidae; genus Homo; species Homo sapiens. The sequence continues at coordinate 4,269,773 of NC_000006.12, forward strand.
GAAAGAAAAGAACAAATAAACTCTTCTAGAAAGGGAAATTTACAGATCACTAATGTTAGTAGTTGGCTTTGTTTAAGTTCTGAAAAAAAATTAAGAGGCATAGCATTAAATAGGTCAAGAGGAGTGGAAAGCACATTTGGGGGCAAGGAAAACGGTATGTGAAATTGATTTTTAACCTTTAGTAGGGGGAGAATGCCACAGACCTCTTTGTGGATCTAATGAAAGTTATGAATTCAGACAAATACACACAAGCACATACATGCAAAGTGCCACATGCATCCCTGCAGGGTACTCAGGCTCCCGACCGCCCACCCACCAGCTCCTAGGGGGATGCAGGGCAGCCAGTTAAGGCCCTCTAGGGCATGAGAGACTCAGATAACACTAGAAACACCAGCTGCATTGGAACAGATGGTTGATATTGGAGAAGACAAAGTTGGAAAACTAGATAGAAAATCTGGAATGCTGAGGTTAGGGGACATTACCCTGATGTACTGATGTACTGAGGATGAGGGCTGTTAAGTGTTTTAGGCAGGATGCACACTGAAGACCAAAGAAGGAATCCCAGATCTTGACCATGTCACCTTCCTGGGCTTTAATAGCCTCGTCTGTAAAATGCGAATAACAATGCATGATTTTCCTGTTTCATAGGAGTGTTCTCAGGGTCAGCATGAGAACAAATTGAGATAACGTAAGTGAAGGTGTTTTGTAAACCTTTCACGAAAGTATAAAATGGTGTTTTAAGATAATTAGGTTGTAATGTGATGGGTCTATACACTCACAGCCCTCAAGGATGGGGTAGAGAACATTTAATGTGGCTTGAAACTGTTAGGGCAAGAGAATGAGAAAATCCATAGATATATTACAAAATAAACCAGGTGGCATGAACTTATTGCTTTTGAAATAAAGGGTAATACTCCAGGTAGATTATTACCTTTTACTGTGAATGGAAAGATCTTGAGGAAGACCGGGAAGAAGATGAGAAATATTAATCCTGAAGGCCCCTGAATGTTTCCAGAGGTCTTTCTTCCCAAACCAGATGGCAAATGAATTAGATTCTCTGTGAGTTGTAGAATATTAAATTTTATAACCAAACCAAATTGATGTCTTATGCCTGGAACCTATGCACTAGTGAGTCTACTGGGAACAGCTTAGATTATCTTCACTACTGATTCATGAAAAAGGTTTTGGCAAATGGTCTCAGGCAAGGAATGAAGCCAGGAACAGCATTTGTCATACCAGATGGGCTGACTCACCCTTTGGATAGAAAAGTTCACCTGTCTTATTCTAAAAACTACCCTTTGCTCTCTTAAATGGACCAGGGACATTTGTCATATTCTATATTGATGAACAAGTCTTGTTTATCCAGTGTCTATGAGCTTCTGGGACGCTTAAGTTTGGTGCTAAGTATTACCTATCAAGCTGGATTTTTGGAGAAACTTAATGAAAACTCATGTGGACATCTAAAGTTCAGCTATTTGGAAGAAAAGATGGGAAACTCTCTCATAGCTACTTTGGGAGGAAGAAGACATTATCAGAGGTTGGGAGTATACTGTATGCAAGACACAGGGAGCTCATCTATTCCAAAGGATAGTAAATAAGAGATTTTCCCTTGTTTAGGGCCACAGAGGGACCTTGGTGTCTCGACACCAAAACGTAACTCTCATGGCCAGGCCTCAGTGGCTCATGCCTGTAATTCAGTGCTTTGGGAGGCTGAGGTGAGAGGGTCACTTGAGGCCAGGAGTTTAAGACTAGCCTGGGCAACATAGCTATGAAAAAATAAAAAATTATCTGGGCATGGTGGTGTGCACCTGTAGTCCCAGCTGCTCAGGAGGCTGAGGTGGGAGGATCACTTGAGCTCAGAAGTTTGAGGCTGCAGTGAATTCTGATCACGCCACTGCACTCCAGCCTGGGTGACCAAATGAGACCCTGTCTCTCAAAAATAAACAAATAAACAAACAGTAACTCCCTAAAATGCTTTTTGGATAAAAAGTCGTGAAGATTCGCTTCTCCCCCACTCTCATCCAGCTGTTCCATGCTCATTATTTAAGTTTAGATGAAATGTCACTTCCTCAGAGAGGCCCCCCCCCACCTCCCTTAATAGCCCCCCTCCTCCCTGGCCCCATCTCAGGGACACTGCCATGTGCCCACCTTGTTTCTGCACTGAGTTACTTGTTCAGGTTTCCCTCCTGAGCACGTGAGCCCCACAGGGATCCTGTCTGTCTTGCTCACTGCCGTACCTTCCACCCCAGCATGCGTCTGACCCATCTTTGTAGAATGGATGAATCTGTGAAGCTTTGGAAATAGTGAAACAAACCCCCATTTGCTTACCAGGTTTTACAGTCCCAGGTCTTTTCTACTATTTATTCTGACACATCTTTTGGATTTTATTCTTATAAGGCATCTCCCTGTTCCCACTGCCGCTGTCCTAATTCAGAATTTCCTTATATTTGGCCCACTGCAATGAACTCTGGAATGTGTTGTCTGCCTTAGGTCTCCCTCTGCTCCAAACCATTCTGCAATCTCTTGCTGGATCAATTTTCTATTTCCTGTTCAAAAAACAAGCCACTGGGCTGACTTTCAATTCCCACTTATGTGTCTCTGCTTCCCAGCCTCTTAGTTATGTGCCCTTTGAGTCAGTCAAGTCCAAGTCTGTCTCCTCTTTGCCTACATAGCCTATGTTTTTCTGCCCCAACCCTTTGCTCATGTGGTTCTCTCTCTCTTTTTTCTAGAAATGGAGTCTTGCTATGTTGCCCAGGCTGGCCTTGAACTGGGCTCAACTGATCCTCCCATCTCAGCTTTCTGAGTAGCTGGGATTACACCTGGGCTCAAGTGATTTCCCCCTCCCCCCCCCACCCCCGCCATCTCAGCCTTCTGAGTAGCTGGGATTACACCTGGGCTCAAGTCATCCTCCCATCTCAGCCTTCTGAGTAGCTGGGATTACACCTGGGCTCAAGTGATCCTCCCATCTCAGCCTTCTGAGTAGCTGGCATTACACCTGGGCTCAAGTGATCCTCCCATCTCAGCCTTCTGAGTAGCTGGGATATTACACCTAGGCTGAAGTGATCCTCCCGTCTCAGCCTTCTGAGTAGCTGGGATTACACCTGGCTTGGGTTTCAAGTGGTTATTTTTACTTGCCCAAATATTAGTCAACTTTTAAGGCTCAATTGAAATATTCTGTCCCCCCAAAAGCTTTCGTTGAGTTCACTAAACTAATAGTAAGCTCTGCCTCCTTACACTTTTCTAACACTTTATTTGTTCCCCTCTTCTGGTATGACACACTTCATGTAATTGTCTGAACTCTCCCACCAAACTCCTCAAGCAGGGGGCTAAGTCTTAGTCATATTTGCCTTCCACAGCATGCTCAGCACAGGGCCTCGCACAGGAGATACTCAATAAGAGTTGTGGCATTAAAGACCGTTTCAAAATTCTTGTTTGGGTTTAGTTTTATTTGAAGGCTAGGAAAGTGCAAAACATCCTGGAATATATTAGTCATGATTATTGCTAAGGGAAAGAAATCTGTCTTTTTTTTTTTTTTTTTTTTTTTGAGATGAAGTCTTGCTCCGTCACCCAGGCTGGAGTGCAATGGCGTGATCTCGGCTCACTGCAACCTCCGCCTCCCAGGTTCAAGCAATTCTCCTGCCTCAGCCTCCCGAGTAGCTGGATTACAGGTGCCGGCCACCACGCCTGGCTAATTTTTGTATTTTTAGTAGAGACGGGGTTTCACCATGTTGGCCAGGCTGGTCTCGAACTCCTGACCTGAGGTGATCCACCCACCTCGGCCTCCCAAGGTGCTGGGATTACAGGCATGAGCCACCACGCCCAGCCAGAAGTCTGTCCCTTATTTGAAGAACTGTCTGGCAATGGATTGTGGTTTGGTTGGTAAAAACAAATCACATAGAACTTTACAGTTTGCAGTGTGCTTTCAGCGGCTTGACTTCAACCAATCCTCTCAACCTTGTGAGGCAAACAGGCGTGTTACAGGTGTCTCCATCTCATAGTTCAGGAAACTGAGACTCACAGGGGATAAACAGCTGTTAAGTGGTGGAGCTGGTGCTAGGAGCCTGTGACTTCAGATGGCATGCTCTTTCCCTCTGCTGCTGTCTTGCCCTCACCACGAGCTCAGTGGGCTGAGATGGGTGGAAACCCTGATCCATTTTTGCTGCATTTTTCAGACATGGCTCCAGAAACTCCTGTATTTCCAGATGAGCATTCATCCTGGGTGAGAGAGATTGCACATACATGAGCTCAGCTTCAGTTCAAGAAGCAGGAACGAAGAGCAATGCTGAAAAGTCATAGAGTTTGATTAGACAGTGATTGAGATGTTTTACAAATTAAGTGTAAAGGACCCTTCCCTGCGTACTATGAGCCGGTCAAGCTTAAGAGTCTTTGTGCCTAGCTTCCTAGTAGAAAGAGTCAGCAGCAGGTAAAAGGAGTTCAGGCATTAGACTTAGATGGACCTGGGTTCAAATCCCAGCCTTACCACTCACTGGCTATCTGGCTTTGAGAAAATTACCTGTCTGAGCCTCCATTTCATTAGTGTAACTGAAATAGTCACTCTGATCATGTCCCAGATGCTATAAATCTATTATCCCGCATGATTCTCTTACAGATCCTAAGAAGTAGGTGTTGTATTATTATTATTATTATTATTATTATTTTTTTTACTAATTTTTGCTCTTTCTATAGACAAGAAACAGGTTCAGGGAGCAAAAGGTTTCCAGCAGCAAGAGGTTGCCAAGAAGATAAACACCAACCCACTTACTCACCATCCAATATCACCAGCCACCATTGACATAACAAGGAAAGGAAAGCTGTCTCAGCAGGGTTCATGTGGTGGTCAGATAAGAAAATGTGTTTGAACTGTCTAGATGATATTAATTGGATCCCTGCTTATTTCTTTAAATAAATGTTTGTAAGTAAATAGGTATATCCAGGTATCTGTATTTCTTTAGACCATGTTTGGATGATAAATCTTTTGGTTAATGATGGTGATTAGTCAGCCAAGTTCATATTTATACTTAGCTTTTACTTTCTTTCTTTTTTTTTTTTTTTTGCCGACATTCCTGGAAACAATTACCATTCAGAACGTGAGACAGAATCCAGCACCACCCTCCAACCAGTGGCAGCAGATCCCACTGGCTGGAAGGGGCCCTCCAAAGCAGGGCAGGAGCCTTTGAAATGTCACTCTTGCAAACCCAACCTCTATATGGCAACACAGATCATAAGCACAGAAAGGAACTGTGTTACAACTGGTGTTATGTTTGATGGGGAGTTGCAGGAGTTAATCAAGGAAGAATAAAACCTAGGGAAAAATATTGTACAAGAATTATTGATGGGTTTGTATTTAAAATCATCGTTTTCATTAGACTTTTTTTTTTTACCCCTTTCAGTGGTCATGCTGGCATCGAGGCCCTGAGTGGGTGCTCATAGCCAGGGCCTATTGAACATCACTGAAGGGGGAGACTCCAGGGACCTGCAAGAGGGCAGGATGACCAGGTAGACGAGGACACCATAGTCCTGATTTTGAGTCTTTGCTTTGTTTTTTATTAGCTGTGTGACCTTCAACCAGTGCCTTACACACTGGGACTGTGGCAGAGACAGCTTGTTCATCCTCAAATCATTTCCTTTTCCACTGGGCACAGGGGAGAAGCCAGGAGCCGCCCCAGGACTGACTCTGGCCAATGGGATGTCCATGGGAGGCACGTCTGCTGCACCCAGACCTGGCCATTGACATGTCCACGTGCTCCTTGACTCTGGCTCTTCCCCTACCTGCTAGAGAAGGTGCTGATGGCTAGAGAAGGGCAGAGCCACAGACGGAAGGGGCCTGGGGCCTGAAACCCCACGTGAAAAGCCACAGTGCTGGAAGTGGTGTGTGGGTGTGCCTGTGTGTTAGCAGGGAATACACTTCTATTGTGCTGAGCCCCTGATAATGTGGGGTTTATCTATTACCGCATCTAGAGTTAGCTTCACTGATACAGGCACATTTTCCTTGTCTGTATCATACAGGTAAAAATTGATCCTTATCTTAGGTGTCATAAAGGTGAAAAGAAATAATGTATAGGAAATGATTTTAGAAATTCTGTAAGTCCTCGCTGGGCACGGTGGTTCACGCCTGTAATCCCAGCACTTTGGGAGGTCGAGGCGGGCAGATCACAAGGTCAGGAGATCAAGACCATCCTGGCTAACATGGTGAAACCCCGTCTCTACTAAAAATACAAAAAATTAGCCGGGCGTGGTGGCGGGCGCCTGTAGCCCCAGCTACTCAGGAGGCTGAGGCAGGAGAATGGCGTGAACCCGGGAGGCAGAGCTTGCAGTGAACTGAGATCGCGCCACTGCATTCCAGCCTGGGCGACAAAGTGAGACTCCGTCTCAAAAAAAAAAAAAAGAAATTCTACAAGTCCTCATCACCAATCTGGTTAATCAACACGGTTGCACCTGCTGGCAGCCCACTAGATCCATGGTATCCTTGCTCCTAGTCAACGCTAGGTGAGGCTCCCCAGCCAGAAGGAGGCCTGAATCCACAAGCCATTCCTGAAGCCCCATGATGGACCCTGTTCATGTCCAAGCAGACACCATTCCTCCCACTTTTGCTTCTCTGCATGGGATGCTGCAGTGCAGGAGGTCAATTAACTCTTCCAGCTCATCCCTGGTGGCACATTTGGTGTTCTGTTACATTTCTTCTATTTTGCTACCTGGAATTTCCCTCCCAAATGATTCCTTTTTTTCTGATAACAAAGGATTACATGCCTATTGTGGAAATTTTGAAAAGAAAATTTTATTGTGAAAGAGTAAAAAATGCACCCACTAAAGGTGATCATTAACAGTATTATGGCATATTTCTTCCTGTATTTCTTTCTTCTTTCTTTCTTTTTTAAAATATCTCACCTCTGGCTGAATCCTCATATTCCTTTTTTCTTTTTTTGGTGGAGGTTGTTGAAAATTCTTATATTTCTTAAGGTAAGTATATATATATTTTTTACCATAGTCGAGAACACCATACACATATAATTTGGTATCTTGCATTTTATGTTCTGCTTGTCACGATCATAGCATTTCCCATATCACTAAAACCTCTTACAGTCATGACTTTTCTTAGAGTTCTATACTATTCCATTGTAAGGATGTACCATGATTTTCCCTATTGTTAGTTAGGTTGTTTCTAGTTTTTCAGTCTTATAAGGAGTGCTGCAGTGAACATGTTTGTAAACTGTGGATTGCTTCCTTTGCAATTTGAATTCTTTAAGGCCATTCATGTTTTGGATCTGGGTAACATGTAGAAACCTATTACATTTCTTAGATACAATCTGGTTTCCAGAATATAGCAGCATGGGAAGGTCAAATGTGGGCTACAAGGAGCCCCAGGTTCGATAGCGGAGATTCTTGAAGCCCGGACGGAAGTGTTCTTTGCACTAGCTCTAGGTACAGGTGTCTGAACTGCCTGAGCATAAGAAACGTGATGGTTCATTTTAGGTGTCGACTTGCCTAGATTATGGGGTACTCAGCTGGCAAAGCATTATTTCTTGGTATGTCTGTGAGGGTGTTTCCAGAAGAGATTGACATTTGAATCAGTGGACTGAGTAAGGAAGATCCGCCCTCACCCAGTGTGGGCGGGCACCAGCCAATCTGCTGAGAGTCCTGATAGAACAAAAAGGCAGAGGGAGGGCAAATTTTCCCTCTTCTTCTGGAGCTGGGACACCCTTCTCCTCCTACCCTTGGACACCAGCACTCCAGGTTCTTTGGCCTTCAACTCTGGAACTTGCACATACCCCATAGGATTCTCAGGCCTTAGTCTTGGACTGAGCCACACTGTCGACTTCCCTGGGCCTCCGGCTTGCCGTTGGCTCTTCGTGGGACTTCTCAGCCTCCATAATCACGAGTCATTTTTCCTAATGAATCCTCTCTCATTATCTATCATCTGTCCATCCATCCTATTTGTTTTGTCTAAGTGGAAAACCCTAATATAAGAGACAGTGGAGACCCCCCTTCTTGTTCTCTGTGGGGGACATGCCGTTCTTTTTTCTTGGAAGAGTGTGGGTTGCACTGTCGGGCCAGACAACACACTTCTTATAGTGTTATTCTATCTTTCTGTCTCTCTTTCCCTCCCTCCCTCCCTCCCTTCCTTCCTTCCTTCCTTCTTTCCTTCCTTCCTCTCTCCCTCCCTCTCTCCCTCCCCCTCTCTCTTTTTCTTTTTTTCTTTCCTTCCTTCCTTCTTTCTTTCTCTCTCTCTCCTTCCTTCCTTCTTTCCTTCCTTCCTTTCTCCTACACCTGAGCATTTTTTTATTGAGATGTAATTAATATTCCATAAAATTTGCCTTTTTAAAGTGTACAATTTGATGGTTTTTAATGTAATCACAAAGTTTTGTAACCATCACCACTAATTCCAGGACATTTCTATTACTCCCAGAAAGAAACACCAACCCCATTAATAGTCACTTCCCATGCTCCCCTCCTCCAGCCCTTGGCAACCACTAATCTACTTTCTGTCTCTATGGATTTGCCTTTCCAGACTTCATATAAATGGAATCTATAACGTGGCTTTTGGGGTCTGGCTTATTTTATGTAGCATAATGTTCTCAAGGTTCACCCATGTTGTTGTATATATTGGTTTTTCATTCTTCTCATGGCTGAATAATATTCAATTGTATGTATAGACCACATTTTGTTTATCCATTCATCAATTGATAGACATTTGTGTTGTTTTCACTTTTTGGCTATCATGAATAATGCCTCTGTGAACCTTTGTGTACAGGTTATTATGTGGATGTATCTTTTCAATTCTCTTAGGCATGTATCTAGGAACAGAATTACTGTTTAATTTACTTTAGAATAGCAAAATTGTTTTCCAGAGGGAAACACCATTTTACATTTTCACCAGCAGTGTATGAGAGTTCCAGTATCTCCACACTCTCTCCGCCACATTTGTCTATCTTTTTTATTATAGCTATCCTGGTAGGTGCGAAGTGGTACCTCATTGTGGTTTTGATTTTCATTTTCCTAATTACTAGTGATGCTGAACATCTTTTCTTTGCATATTGGCCATTTGTATATCTTTTTTGTATGTAATTTCTGCCTATTCAAATCGGTTGCTCAAAAAATTTCGTTCCTTGTCTTTTTATGATTACATTATAAGAACTCTTTATATATTCTAAATACTAGATGCTTATCATATATATGATTTGCAAGTATTTTCTCCTATTCTGTGGGTTGTCTTGTCACTTTCTTGATAGTGCCCTTTGCCACAAAAAAGTTTTTAATGTTGATCAAGTCTATTTTTTGACTTCATCTGTAAAATCCATAATTTTGATGTATCTTTCTTTTTCTTTTTTTGCTTAACGCTTTTGGTGTCACGTCTAAGAAACCATTGCTTAATCCAAGGTCACACAGATTTACTCCTCTGTTCTTTTTAGAGTATCATATCTTAGCACTTACACTTAAATCTCTGATTCATTTTGAGCTAATTTTGTATGTGGTGTGAGGTACAGGTCCAACTTCATTCTTTTCCATGTGGATAGCCAGTTATTCCAACACCATTTGTTTGAAAGACTATTCTTTCTTCATTGGGTTTCCTGGGAACCCTTGTCAAAAACCAATTAACTATAAATATATGATTTTATTTCTGGACTCTCAATACATGTCTATCCTTATGGCAGTACTGCACTGTCTTGGTTAGTGTAGATTTGTCATACATTTTGAAATTGGAAAGTTTGTGTCTTTCAACTTTGTTTTTTTTCAAGACTGTTTTGGCTATTCTGGGTCCCGTGTATTTCTATATAAATTTTATGATCAGTTTGTCAATTTAGACAAAAGAGGCGGCAGGAATTTTCATAAGGATTGCATTGAATCTGTAGATCAACTTAAGGAGTATTGCCATGTTAATGTTATTGTCTTCTAGAGTGTTATTCTTAAAAAAACAAGACAAATCACTGATTTCAACAGTTACTCAACTTCCATTTGCAACAGTTTAGTTTTTCTGCAATGTAAGTCACTCCTATTTACTCCAGCTACATTAAAAAATGGAATGCTTCACCTTGTCTGTAAATTATCTTCTTTGTACCAGATGAGCTCAACTATATTTCCTTATGAGACCTTAACGATTCCATTTTACTAGGGTTATTAGGTGTAGGTACTATATGAATTTCACTAAAAGATGAAGAAATCAGCTGGCCATGGTGGCTCACGCCTATAATCCCAGCACTTCGGGAGGCTGAGGCCGGTGGATCACCTGAGGTCAGGAGTTCGTGACTAGCCTGGCTAACATGGTGAAATCCCATCTCTACTAAAAATACAAAAATTAGCCAGGTGTCGTGGCATGCACATGTAATCCCAGCTACTTAGGAGGCTGAGGCAGGAGAATCACTTGAACCCAGGAGGCGGCGGTTGCAATGAGCCGAGATTGCGCCATTGCAGTCCAGCCTGAGTAACAAGAGTGAAATTTCATCTCAAAAAAAAAAAAAAAAAAAAAAGATGAAGAAGTCAAGGCAAAAAAACTAACATTCAAGCAATTACCTCACTTGCCACAGAAGAACAGCTAGATCTGTGATGAGAATGAAAGACTGTAGTTCCCACAGTACTGTGCTCTCCCGAGGAATTAGGAAGAGCTGGTTTCCCATCCCAACTGCTTGTTCTCCGTTCCCCTGTCTTAGTGTGGAATTTTGAAAAAGTACTTAATTTCTCTGAATCTGTTTTTTTATCTTCATTACGGTGGTGTGATCCAGGTGACCAAGTGACCTCGTGGGCCTGTGTCTGTAATATGACACACTCATTTTTAATGACAAATTATAGTTACCAAAGCTACACCCTCCCCAGCCTGGCTTCCAGAAACCCTCTTCACAGTGTCCCCTATTTGTTCTGAGTCTCAAAAGAGTGTCTCCTGTGCGCAGAGCCAGTCTGTTAGCTGCAGTCGTCTGCTCCATCACATCACTCCCGTTGACTCTCCTGCACCTGTTCCCCACCTCCACCCACCTTGTTTCTGCAGGGCCACAAGGAGTGCTTGTCATTGCATTGCCAAAACCAGGCAAGGTTGTTGTTTTGGGATTCATTCAAAGCTCCCTGTCCTATGGGCACCAGAGCAGGGCTGTTTCTATGCAGACAAGAAGAATAGTCTCCTCCACTCCAAATGCAGCAAGCAAGTCTGCCCAGCCCTGGAGTCCTTGACTCATACTTGAAGAATCCTATCAGCGTCATGCCCTTGTATTCCTGGCCATACTCCAGCTGGTGGAAGCCCTTAGAGGGGGGAAACATAGCATTCCATCACCACCTTCTCCCCATCACCTAGCCTGCTCCTCTCTCCCAGGTCACCACATAGAAGCTTGGATTAATGCAAGCCCACCAAAAGAAAACTGGCATGGGGCAAGGGGTGGGGGACCGTGTGTGGATCTTACCAGCAGCAGCTGGTGCCTGCTCTGGGGGCAAACATGAGGTCTCTGATGATTTAAAATGATACCTACCCCGGGAGGTGGCGTGAGATTAACTGAAATAATGCAAGGCAAGTCCTGGCACCAAAGACATTCCCCCCAGGGTTTCAAAATGTCAAAGATGATGAGGTCCCTTCTCTGGTAAAGGGTGCATTTATTTTCCAAATACTTCTCACTGCCTCAACGGAAATTTGCCTGGGCCTGTGGTTCCAGGGAACACTGTTTGGGGCAACCCCGTTTTCTTCCCGTGGACATGTGTGGCTCCATTCGAGTCCAGGAGGCAGACCAAACGCAGGGTCAGAATCGCTGCCTCGTATGCTCACCTGGACAGGCACTGGGAGATGAAGGACCATCTGTCTCTCGGTCCATGGTTTGGTCCAGCTGGTGCAAGAACCCCAGGTGCCGAAGGCGTTGCAGCCACCCTCCCCTGCCCACATGCCTGGGCGTCTCCGAACACTCCCCTTGGCGTCCACCACAAATAGAAGATTGTTTCATCCACCCATGCAAGGTCTTTCCCAGGACTCCTCCTACCCAGAAACCCAGGTGGTTCTCAGGGAGCTGCGCCAATCCCTCTGGCTGCACCCCGCAGACCCTGCCCACGCTCCAGCGCCACGTCCTCCGCAAGCGCGGTGATATGGCTCATCCTTCCCTTCTCGCCTTTCTCACAGCCCAGGTGCTGCACCCAGGCAGTCTGACGAAGCTGTTCCCGCTCCCAATCTGGCCAGACACGGCTCTGCGTAATTGCGCTCTGCGGTCCACCTGCTCCCCCGCGGCAGTCCCCCAGCTCCGCAGCAGGTGGGGCCGCCGCACAACCTCGCAGGCCCAGTGAGACATAGGAAACGCCAAACTGGGTTACGTAAGTGGGTTAGGCAGGTGGCGGGCGAGGTGCGTTCTACAGGAAAGTTGTGAATCAGGAGTCTGGCAACGTGAATTCTCAGTTCTCCTTTTGGTTTCATTACAACAAGCAGCTATTGGATGTCTGGTGTGTTCGCAGAAGTGTGATAGATGACTCCGTGTCGGAATACAGAAGCAGAGGGAGGGCTCTGGGAACAAAGCCCTGAGGATGAGACGCAGTCCTCAAACTCGACAGTTCACAGTCCGCAGGGGAGCAGACGTGGGAGCAATAATACAGCACATTACCACACATATAATAGTGAAAAATGTATGCAAGGTGTGGGGGGAGGGGGTGGATGGAGCGGGGAGGGGGGTGGATGGAGCAGGGAGGGGGAAAGAGAGCGATTCTTTCTGGAGTCAGTAAAGTCTCCAGGGACGCTCAACCTGAGTTTTGAAGAACAGATACAATTTTGCAAGGTGGCCAAGAGCATAGAAGAACGTTCTTGTTAGAGGAAACCAGAGTCGGGGGGTTTGGTGCCCTCCCATAATCTCCTCAACACCCTTCAAAGCTACCCTAAATAAGCATTCTAAGCATAAATAGCTAGTTTGCTATGTGAAATGTGAACTCCATGTCAAGACAAATCTGTACTGTCCTTTTCAATCCTACATACTAGCTTGAGCTGACACTCAGGGAGAGGTGTGGGTTGGGGCTTTGGGGACAAAGGACTGAGTAGTTCTGGAACTACAACAGGGGCAGACAAGACCATAAAGGACTTTGGAGGTCATGCTTAAGGACTTAAGCTTTATCTTGTAGGCTGGAGCTTGCAAGCTGGTGGCCATGAGATGACCTTTTTTTTTTTTTTTTTAAACCCTACGTACTTGTTTTGTTTAATTCTTATAAAGTTTTAAAAGTCAGTACCTTTCTGGCATCTCTTGGAAAAATCGGAGGGTTTGATGTCACTGGACTCACCATCCTGCCATAAGCTGGCTCCAGGTTGTAGCTGCTTCCTGGAAACCAGGCACCAGCTTGCCCTTTGTCTCAGTCCCTGCCATTCCCTCAGGCTTCCTGGGATCCTGTCTGGGCTCTGCAGGGGTCTCAGTCCCTGGAGGCAACAGGGACACACTTATCACTTGTCAGCACAGTCCAACGGTAAGATCTGGGCTGGTAACATGGTGAGGTGATTGAATTTGAAAGGAAGGGATGGAAGCAGGGAAACATGTCAGTCAGCCTTAGAGAGGAGAGTCCAGATTCAAGTAAAGTGGGAAACCTGTCCCTCCACTCCCCACCCGTGCACGTGCAGGTACACTCAGGCACACACTCTGAGTACAGCAAGACTGCTCTCTCTTCTTCAACTCTTTGAGTTCTTAGTTTCTTAAGATTTCTTTACCCTGTCAAGAATCACTCATGTTTAATTAAGACCACTTTCTTTTGAGAATAGGAGGGAAGTACAAATACCATTTTTTTGTAGGCCTGCTTCTCCCTTCTGCCCTCACCCTTAGAGATGGAGCTGGGTTTTGGCCCAAGGAGAACTTCAAATCTTGGACCATCAATTTTCCGACTCTAAAGGACCCCTCGCAGGATTAAGCTGCATACTTTTCGAGTATCTCTAGTATTCATCCCCCAAAGAACCAGTGCAATATTCTTCCCCTGCTAAGGAAAAATGGAGAATTGTAGGATGAAGTGTGTCAGGGGAATAAAAGAGAAGGTACCCTCTGTGGCCCTAGAGCCATGTATAATCCACTGCAAATCCCCTCTCCAAATTACAGTGATTTGTAGTGGAGGGAAAAAAAAGAAAAAGACTGAATTTCATTCCTGCCTTCAACATTTTCATCCAGTCCACTGTTTGGTGACCCACTTGGAGTGGCTCTTAGTCTCCATTAGTGCAGCAGGATGGGAGAAGGATTGTACAATGTCAGTCTGTTGCCAGGCAGACGAAAACCAAGTAGTAGTATTTCTCTGGCAAATAATCTAGCCAGTCTTGGTCTCTATTGCTAGAGCTAATTACACTCACAGGTGCCATGTTACTTATTTAATCATCTTATTCAATGCCACTCTTCAACATTGCACTTTTAAATAAAATAAGGTTTCTTTGCATGGTCTCAATGATAAATGCCAGTAGAGACAGAAATGAAGATTTGAAATTTCCTGTTGTGTATATGCTCTCCCCTGCTCGGAACATGTATGCCTACTAGCAATCAGTTTTCATGCACCAGTTGTGGTGTGCTGAGTGGGCGGCAGAGACTGGGACAGAGGCTCACTCATTGATTCAGCAAACATTCTGTCCTAGAGTGGGTTCTCAGGGAAGCAGATGCTAAGTCAAGGATTCAAGAGCAAGGAGTTTATTGGCACTCTGGAAGTGAAGAAGACAGAAAGGAGGGTGGCCAGTAAAGGGTGCATTGTTGAATTTGCTACCATTGTGGGAGCTTAATCATACTGGGAAACTTTAAGATCCAGTGTAGAATACATGCCTCAGAGTTATCTCACCAAGGGGTGAGGAAGCTTGGGTATTTCTACACAAAGTCCCATCAATCACTGGTTGAGGCTGCTCCTAGGGAGCATGACTTTCCTGGAACTTATGCCTTGATCCTGAAATAGGCAAAGCAGGCTTTAGTGGCCAGAGAAAGCCCTGGGGCAAGCAGGGGCTGGCAGTTGGAAGTTGGACCAGCTTCAACTAAAGAGATAAGCACAAGGGGCTATGGATGGGGCAGTGACAGAATCTGCAACATATTCTTTGAGGACTTCCTGTGTGCCAGGCACTGTCAGGTCACCATTATAGAGATGGATTTTGTCTCTGCCTTCATAGAGCTTATAGGTTAGTAGAGGAGATGGACAAGTAACCAGGCAGAGCCCAAAAGATGGGATATTTTCGGATGGTAGGAAAGAGAAGTGTGTCTCAGTAGGCCTCCTGGAGAAGGTAACACCTAAGCTAGCCCTGAATTAGGAATAGAAATGTTTATAGGTGGCTGGAAGCAGCATGTGCAAAGGTCCTAAGGAGACTGAGTTTGCAGCAAGTTTAAGAAACTACAAAGGCTGGGCACGGTGGCTCACGCCTGTAATCCCAGCACTTTGGGAGGCCAAGGCGGGTGGATCACGAGGTTAGGAGATCGAGACCATCCTGGCTAACACGGTGAAACCCCGTCTGTACTAAAAATACAAAAAATTAGCTGGGTGTGGTGGCGGGTGCCTGTAGTCCCAGCTACTCGGGAGGCTGAGGCAAGAGAATGGTGTGAACCCAGGAGGCGGAGCTTGCAGTGAGCCGAGATAGTGCCACTGCAGTCCGGCCTGGGCGACAGACTGAGACTCCTTCTCAAAAAAAAAGAAACTACAAAAACTTGATATGCCTGGATTGTAGAATTTAAGAGATTAAAAGAATAAGGGAATAAGGGTAAGAATAAGGGTGGTTAAAGAATCTGGAGGGGGAGCCAGACAGTGGAGAAGTTGGAAAACTGCTTGGATAGTTCCTAGAGGCATTTCTTTCCCAAGACCAATTCTACTTCCAATTAGGATTTCAAGTCCTTAAGTGGTCATCCCTAGCCTCTCCCTACCTGTTTTGATCTTGCACACAACCTTTTCTCTTATACAAATTCTAACAGAAGTTTTCACATTTTAAATAGGAAGCCTAATAAAAGTTTACTTGATTTTTGCTGCAGATTAAACTAATATGCAATTGACAAATTATTTCTTTTCTTGAATTCAGTCACTGGTTCAAGTAGTACAGTTATGTGTTCCTTCATGACGGGGATCTGTTCTGAGAAATGCATCGTTAGTCGATTTCATCATCATCTGACCATCATAGAGTGTATTTACACAAACTGAGATGGGGTGGCCTCCTACACACCTAGGCTATAAGGTATGGCCTATTGTTCCTCACCTGCAAATCTGGACAGCAGGTTAATGTACTGAATACCGTAGGCAATTGTAACACAATGGTAGGGATTTGTTTATCTAAACATATTTAAACACAGGAAAGTACAGTAAATAAATAATTTAAAAGATTAAAATTGGTACACTGTATAGGACAGCTCCACTATAATCTTATAAGACCGCCATTGCATATTTGGTCTGCCATAGATGGAAATGTCATTATGCAGTTAAGATACTTTAACCTAGGCAGTGGGGTGTGGCATGCTGTGTTTCCCAAAGATGGTTTCAATGATAGCTCCTAACTCACACTCTTATTACAACATGACTTTGACACTCCTTTGAATGAGAGCTGTGCTCTGTATTCCCTCTTCTTGAATTTGGATGGGCTGTGGCTATGATGGTGGTGATACTGTGTGACTTATGAGGCTCAGTCATAAAAGGCAAGACTTCCTTTGGTTTTCTAGGGATAACTTGCCTTTGGAGCCCTAAGCCCCCATTTAAGAAGTCTTGAGGCCACCATGCTATTCCAGGGGCAGAGAGAACAAGGTCCTGATTCAGGTAAAGCGGATGGGATTAGAGGGTAATGATAGACAGATGCATATGATTGATAGATGTGTATTATAGACAGATGACAGATGCATATGATAAATAGGTGATAAATAGATCCAAATGATAGATGAGATAAATGATAAATATGATAGGTATATATTGACAAAGGAAACATACATGATAGGTAGATAGATAGTTAGGTAATAGATAAAGGAGAGAGAGCAAGCAATATTTAACAAGGCCTGAGGGGTCAGGACCAGGAGAGCTTTGACCATCAGGATGAAGAGTTTGTTGGTGTCTGTGAAGATTTGTGGCTGAGGTTGTCTGTAACCAGGAAGGAGGTTGCAGGGTTCCAAGATGAGGGAATGAGGTTCTAGGCTAAAGTGCAGATATTTTCCTTTGGGCAGAGAGAGAAAGGAATCAATTTAAGATACAGCACAGAGGAGGAGGAGGCAGCAATTATTAATGAATAGATAACCTACAGTGAAAAGAAAGACAGGAGGAGGCAAAGTTTAGACAGTGAGTTTCAAGAGGAAGAGGCCCTCTAGAAAGAAATGAAAACCCCCTTTCTCTCCAGGGATTACTAGTTTACTGCACAGTGGCAGGAAAACTCCAGGTCACGGAGTGCCTAAGCATTTGCCAAATCATTAGCACTCTGGTAAACCCGGGAAGGCGGGAGAGCAGTCAAAAGTTAGGGTAAATAGGAGGCTGGAGATTTTTGGTGGATTTTAATCATCCAGTGTCATCCTTCTTGCCCATCACCTCAACCCTGGGAGCTGCCTGTATTTTTGTTCACAATGGTCCACCTGATTGACAGCATCTATCTCAAGCCTGTGCAGCCACATCTCATTAAGAGGAGAGGACGTAAGAAATTTCCTTCAGGTCAGGATGTTATAACAGATGAAAAGGAGAAGATATTTAAGAGAAAAATAACTCAGCAGTACACCATTAATCAATTTCTCTCTCTCTGTCTCCCTCTTTCATCTCACCTGACCTAATACCCTGAAACTTCCATGATAAGAAACGTAGGCACAGATAGTGTCCTATGAAGCAGCGTTCTTGCAGAGCAGTGGCCATGATTAATATCGCCTCTGCCCACAGTGATGTTTTTATTCCTTAACTACCGCTCTTTTCTTTGGGGAATCGATGCACATCACTCTGTATTAGAGTCAGCATCTGCCGTACAGATTCCATGGAAATCACCACGAGCTGCCCATTGCAACCTTGAAAGAAGCATCTTTCAGAAACCCATGACCCAGAATCCCTGTGACAGTCCCTAGGAATTACATTTGAGGGTAAGTGCCACCTTTGACCTGAGCACTTTGCCTGTTCTTCCTTCGTGCTCCTATAAAAGGTGGTGTCGGTGAAACAGAGTCACTTGGAAAGCTGACTCGCCGCCAGCAGAGAAGTCCAGCAGGGCATTGTTTGGAATGGAATGAGCATGCATATTTAATCCGATTTAGTTAATGTTGCTGAGCACCTCCTCTGAGCCACAGCGCTCAGTACAGGACGACAGGCTAGTGAGGGCTGAGACACAGACACCACCCTGCCATCCGTCGGACTGGGAACGAGGCCAAGAGGAGGTTTGGACAAGGGGCTGGGGACACAGGGAGGAAGCCAGCACGTGACTTTGGGGACTAAGGAAGGTGCCAAGAGGAGGTGACACTTGTCCTGGAAGGGTGAGTAGGATCTGGGGAGATGGAGAAAGATATCCAGGCAAATAGACTAGTGTGACTCTATGACCTCGTTAGAGGAGGAAAACACAGGCAAAGCACAGCCCCTGACATTGGGGAGTGGCGGGGCCTGAAGATTAGGCGTCGTAAATGTCATGCCCACTTCTTTATGAATAACAATATAATAATAGCTGAATTCTAATGAGTGTTTACTACATGCCAGGCACCCTGCTATGTGCCATACCTGAATTTTCTTTTTTGATTCTATACAGCCTAATGAGGCAATAAATGGCATCACTGTTCTTTCCTTTTATATATGAGGAAGCTGAGACTTAGAGAACTTCACTAGGGTGCCCAAGGTCACACAGCTGGCAGCCCCCAACCCAGGCTGTTTGCCCCCCAGCCAGGCCCACCCCCTCACTTGCAGCCATAGAGGAGGGTGGTGTGCAAGAATTTTCAAACCAGTTGAAAATTTAAAATATGCAGATTTTCAGATCACACTCTGAGAAATGTGATTCAGTGAGTCCTGGGAAGAGGCCCACACTCTTCTTTTAAAGACTCCCCAGGTGATTTTGATGGGATATAATGACATAGTAGTTATAAGCCTCGCAGGGCATTTTCTGCCCAAACCTACCTATGGAGCTTTGCTGCCCTTTTAGTTCTCATCACAGCAGAAGGGAAGTTGGGAAGGACCTAAAGGATCAGGGTTTTAGACCTGGCCCTGCTGCCAACCAACTGTTTGATTTTGGACAGTCACATGCCCTGTTTGGATTTTAATTCTTTGTATGTCACAGTTGGAGGGTGGACAAGATGACACCTGAGATTGCCTCAAGCTTTAACATTCAACAATTCTGCTGGGCAGTGATGGCACTTCGGCTATCAGGTCTTGATACATTCAGGAATTGAAGCTTAGAAGTCTGTACTAGTTGTTAGCGCTGCAATAAGAAAGTAATACAGGCCAGGGGCAGTGGCTCACACTGGTAATCCCAACAATTTTGGAGGCCGAGGTGGGTGGATCGCCTGAGGTCAGGAGTTCGAGACCAGCCTGGCCAACATGGTTTGAGACCAGCCTGGCCAACATGGTGAAACCCCATCTCTACTAAAAACACAAAACTTAGCCTGGTGTGGTGGCGTGTGTCTGCAGTCCCAGCTACTTGGGAGACTGAGGCAGGAGAATCACTTGAACCCGGGAGGCGGAGGTTGCAGTGAGCTGAGATGGCGCCATTGCACTCCAGCCTGGGCAACAAGAGCGAAACTCCATCTCAGAAAAAAACAACAACACTGCAAGCTGGGGGCTTAAACAACAGAAACTTATTGTCTTAAGGTCCAAAGTCAAGGTGTTGGCAGAGTTGGTTCCTTCTGAGGGCTGGGAGGGAGCATCTGTTCCACGCTGCTCTGGTACCTTCTGGTAGATTGCTGGCAAGCTTTGACGTTCCTTGGCTAGCAGGAGAATCCTCCTGATCTCTATCTTCATCTTCACATGGCGTTCTCCTTGTGTGCATGTCTGCATGCAAATGGCCCTTTTTTATAAGGACACCAGTCATATTGGATGACAGGCCTACCCTATCCCAGTACGACCCCGCCTTCACTAATTTACATCTGCAACAACCCTCTCTCCAAATAAGGTCACATTCTGAGGTACCAGGGGTGAGGGCTTCAACACAGAAATTTGGGGGGGGACTCAGTCCAACACATAACAAAGTCCAAGTGAGAAACAGCACTAAGATAGACTGAAGTCACTTGAAACCGAGCTAAGTTTCTGCATCAGTCGGGAATACAGTCATGCACTGCATAACAGTGTTTTGGGCAATGATGGATTGCATAAACAATGGTGGGTCCACAAGATTATAATGGAGCTGAAAACCTCCTATCACCTAGTGATGTCATAGCCATCCTCATGTCATAGTACAATGCATTACTCACGTGTGTGTGGCGATGCTGGTGTGAACAAACTACTGTGCTGACAGTCACATACAAGTAGAGGACATGCAATTATGTACAGCACATAATGCTTGATAATGACAATAAATTACTGTCACTGGTTTGTGTATTTACTAGTCTATACTTTTTAGTCATTATTTTGGAGTGTATTCTTTCCATCTATAAAAAGTTAATTGTAAAATAGCCTCAGGCAGGTCCTTCAGGAGGGATTCCAGAAGAAGACATTGTTATCATAGGAGATGACAGCTCTGTGTATGTTACTGCCCCTGAAAACCTTCCAGTGGAGGGGAGGTGGAAGACAGTGATGTGGATGATTCTGACCTTGTGTGGGCCTAGGCTAATGTGTGTGTTTGTGTTTTACTTTTTAACCAAAAATAAATTTTAAGTAAAAAAATAAAAACAAAAAAAATTTAAATAGAAGAAATCATATAGAATAAGGATGTAAAGAAAAAACATTTTTGGGTAGCTATGCAATGTGTTTGTGTGTTTTTCTTTTGATTTTTTCTTTTTTAGACAGGGTCTTATTCTGTCTTCCAGGCTAAAGCACAGTAGTTGCAACATAGCTCACTGCAGCCTCAAACTCCTGGGCTGAAGCAATCCTCCTGCCTCAGCCTCCTGAGTATCTAGGGCCATAAGTGCATGCCACCACACCTGGCTAAACTTATTTATTTATTTTAAGACAGAGTCTTGATCTGTCACCCAGGCTGGAGTGCAATGGTGCAATCTCAGGTCACTGCAACCTCCGCCTCCTGGGTTCAAGTGATTCTCCTGCCTCAGCCTCCTGAGTAGCTGGGATTACAGGTGGGTGTTATCATGCCCAGCTAATTGTTTGGTATTTTTAGTACAGATAGGGTTTAACCATGTTGGTCAGGCTGGTCTGAAACTCCTGACTTCAGGTGATCCACCTGCCTCAGCCTCCCAAAGTGCTGAGATTACAGGCATCAGCCACCATTTCTGGCCTAAACTTTTTTATTTTTTTGTAGAGACAGGGACTTGGTATGTTGCTCAGGCTGGTCTAGAACTCCTGGGCTCAAGCAGTCCTCCCACCTCAGCCTCCCAAAGTGTTGAGATTACAGGCATGAGACACTGTACCTAGCTGTGTTTGTGTTTTAAGCTAAGTATTATTACAACAGTCAGAAAGTTTTAAAAAGGTAAAAAGTTTATAAAGTAAAAAAGTTCTGGTAAGCTAAGGTGAACTCATTGAAAACAGAACAATTTTTAAAAAGAAATCAAGTGTAGCCTCAATGTGCAATGTGTATAACGTCTGCAGTAGTGCACACGAATGTACCAAGTGTTCACATTCACTCCCCACTCACTGACTCACCTAGAGCAACTTCCATCCTGCAAGCTCCATTCATTGTAAGGGCCCTATACAGGTGGACCACTTTTTACCGTTTATACCATATTTTTTTCTGTACCTTTTCTATGTCTCAGTATGTTTAGGTGCACAAATACATCCCATTGTGTCACAGTTGCCTACAGTATTCAGCACAGTAGCCTGCTGTAGAGGTTTGTAGCCTAGGAGCAATAGGATCTACCATACAGCCTAGGTGTGTAGGTAAGTACATTCCATGGTACATTCCACCAACAAAATCACCCAACAGTGCATTTCTCAGAATGCATCCCCGTCACTCAGTGACACATGACTGTATTTGTTGCAATTAACAGAATCCACTCATGCTTGTTTATAGTTTATGCTGGAAAGAAACGTATGAAAGGATCCTCGCTAACTCCACAGGGGCCACTGGGTCAGGAAGGACGTTAATTACAATGAGGCATTGTTCTGTTGAAGCAGAGAACTACTGCCCCCAACCTCCGGCCCCATGCAAGGGACCTCCGCTGTCCCCCACCCCAGGAACCAGCACCTGCAGTGCCTGCTGCCTGACATCATCTTCCCCTCGCCGAGTCTCACATGGGTGTGACTCATACGTTCATGAAGAGATAATTTGGAAAAAGTACACCAAAATGGAAAATGTGCATACTCTTTGACTCAGCAATTCTACTCCTATGAAGTTTTTTCCTAAGGAAATAATTCAGTGAGTGCCTAGAGAGTATATTTATAAATATGTTTGTTCATCAGAGTATTGCTTATATAAACCCACACACCTCAATATTTATCAGTGATAGATTTGCCAAATAAACCATGATGCCCGTGAGCATGGGAGTGTGGCTGAGTTAAATGTGATGATACGGATCAGTGGTTCTCAGCTTAAGCACACCCAAGCTGAGCAATGCCTCCTTTTTATGATAAGTGCCTGTAATACTCCTTTTACTATCCTGAAATGAAATTCATAGATAATATAACCTATATATATGATTTTTTAAAAAATCAATATAACAGCCCTTTCTGTGTGTTTTAAAACACACATAAGTTTTAAAAAATCAATACATTGCCTTCGCTGTAATATAAAGGAGAAATAAAAAAAGAGGAATCTATAATGAAACGTTTCAACATGGGAATGCACAGGCATGCATACACGAGGAGATGCCGAGTGTGTGAAGTTTGCCCTGTGTAAAACCACCATGAAGGTCCCAGCCAGGAAAGTTGACCCTTCAAACGTGTGTGTTGGGAGCTCAGATCTCAGGATCCCGCTGAGTGGCAATTGCGGATGGGATTTTCCAACAAAGCAAGGTACAATCCTCCCTTAATACCCCTCAACATACCTGAGAAACATCGTGTATGTTAAAAACATGCAAAAATCAGTCGTGTCTAAATTAAAATGAAGTTTATGCCTTGGCTCAGATTATTTTAAGCAGGAATTTTCAACTACATGAATGTCTGATGTGATATTTCAAAATTATGTGGGATAATCGTCAATGGAGGGACTGACTTCCCTGGGACCTCACCCACTAAATGCCAGGAACCCCTCAACCAGAAAAGCCCCCACACATTTCCCGTCCACCCTTGATAGGGGGCAGAATGGCCTCTGAGAACCAGTGACCACTGACATGTGTTTACTGACTGGGAAAGAAGTCTACGATACGTATTGTGAAGTACGACGTATGGTTAAGTAAATGTAGGCTTAAGGATCAACACCTACAACATGATTCCATTTTTGAAAAAGGACAAACATAAAGACGGCATGAAAGAAAAATCTGTGTATGTGTGCAGGTCCAGAGAGGAAAACATCTGAACATATGTAAACAAACATTAACCATAAGTGTCTCTGGTGAGTGAGATTACAGGTCATTTTCATTTTTTAATGTCTATTTTTCCATATGGACTTTTTTTTTTGTAATGATATATTACGTTTATTTTCAGAAAAACAAAACTATTTCCATTTGAAAAATTGGCCAGGCACGGTAGCTCATGCCTGTAATCCCAGCACTTAGGAGGACCACAGGGTGGATCACTTGAGGCCAGGAGTTCGAGACCAGCCTGGCCAACATGGCAAAACCCTGTCTCTACTGAGACAGGGTTACAAAAATTAGCCGGGCATGGTGGCGCAATGGTGTAATTCCAGCTACTTTGGAGGCAGAGGCACAAGCAATCACTTGAACTTCGGAGGTTGAGGCTGCAGTGAGCCGAGATCGTGCCACTCCACTCCAGCCTGGGTGACAGAGCAAGACCCTTTCTCAAAATAAATAAATAAATAAGTGAAAAATCAATAAAAGGAAGGCAGCAGAGCACGGTTTTTCAGCCTGGGCAGTGTGGACATCTGGAGATGTCTTTTTTCTAGGAGGCTGTTCTGTACTTTGTAGGGTATGTAGCAGCATCCTTGGTCTCCACTCAATATAAGCCAACAGCACCCTCCACCCCAAGTTCTGACAACCAAAAATGTCTCCAGACATTGCTAAATGACCCCTGGGGGGCTGAATTGCCCTGGTTGAGAACCACTGTTGCAGAGGATTAAAAGTCCAGGTTTGGACATCCCACTGCATGGGTTCTAATCCCAGCTGCACCACTCTTTATCTGTGCAAGTAACTGAATAACTGCCTGAGATGCCTTGTCTGTACAGTAGATGGTTGTGCCTCCTAGGTTTGCTTGAGAATGAAATTAGAAAGTGTACATTTAAATGTTTAGCACAGTTCTTGGCATGCAGTAAAGTGTACAATGAATGCAAGCTTCCATTATCAAAAAGAAAAATGTCTATCCCTAAATTAGGAAATCAAACCTTATAAATAGATAAATGCTCCCAGTATAGGAAGACACTGGACTCCACATGCCGCTGTCCCCAGGGAACCGGACCCTGTTCCCCCTGGGTCCTGGGCTAGTTTTTTCCCGGGACCTGGATAAACTCTCAGTGTGTCTCAAGCCTTTTCTGGCTCTCTAGCCACGGGAATAGTCTCATTTCATAAAACAAAATGTTCGATCTAACGCATATTACTCCAAACTTAATTTGAAGTGCATGTTAACCCAGCTCCAAAGCCTGCATGAAGAGGGAAGCTGCGGGATTCCTCCCTCCCTCACCTTGCCCCCAGAGGCTGCACCAGTAACGATCCAGGTTCTAGGCCTTGTAGGGAGAGACAGAGCTTTCCAGACCTGGGCTGCATGTTCTGCTTTGATGTCCTCTGGGCTTGGCAGATGTTCAAAGTCGTTCTCTTAGGGATCAGGGGCGGGATTGTTTCTCAGTGATTCTTGTATGGCCAGCCCCTGATGCCCTTCACAAGACTTGAGCAACATGCCCCCTCCTTCTGGGGGCCACTTCTGAAGCCGCCTTTAGACCCTGGCCTTGGGATCCACCCTCTGCAGTTTGCCCCACCCCTGCAGGCAGCCTCTGGGGCCACACCCTGTGGTAGGTGAGACGGGTCCTCCGCTCTGGTCCTTCAGGCTGGTGGGCACCAGCGCACAGACCATCTCTCTGCACCCTACCACCGGCCGATGCATCCAAAGCCAGCCCTGCAGCCCAGCTGCTTAGCCCAGTCACAGACCATCTCTCTGCACCCTACCACCGGCCGATGCATCCAAAGCCAGCCCTGCAGCCCTGCTGCTTAGCCCAGTGCAAAGAGTAGCAGCCCACTCCTCGCATACAGCAGTGAGGGGCAGGGGCAGGGGGACTGCTGCACACCATCATTTCTTCTGGAAGGAATTATTTGCTCTAGGCTGCCCTCCCCTTGCCCTCATGCCCTCACCCCTTCTGCAGGGCATGGCTGATGCTGGTCCAATCTTGCTTACCTCCAGTGGGTGCTGCTCAGCCAGACTCACATCACTTAGGATGTCAGGGGATGTGGTCTTGGAGGCTTCCTACGAAACAGAGCAAAGGGTTTTATTTGAGCACCCAGGTGCCTCGCCTCCTGGATCAGCTGTATTACAAATGGTCTTCTTCACAGTCCCAGAGAGGTCGGGGCCATATTCTTGGACTTTTTCTCAGGTCCCAGCTAACATTCAGGCTCCTGGGGAAGTTTGCATTTTACAGCGATGGGCTCCTTAAATGAGAGGGAGGGATTTCTCTAGAAATTAGGCTGCCTGATCCTGCACCAAATGCTGACGATGCTGACTCCACGGCTACAAGGCTTCTTAGGAAGCAGCACACAATCTCCGAGGCCACAGGCTACACTTACGGGTGAGCTGGGGCTTTCAGTGCCCTGCCGGCCTTGGACTTGTAAATGCATAAAATAAAGGATGCATTCAAGCTGATGAATCAGATCCTACAGGGCCTGAAAGGGTCACTTCAGCTTCCAAGCCACTTAGCTGATAGCCGGGAAATGCAGAGTAGAGGGTAAGGCATTCAAATGCTCCAACACAGGAGAAATGATTTATAAATGTAGTAGAGTGAACTTGGTGGAGACAGAGCTTGGACTTCAACACAGGGCTTTTGGGGTCAAGTGAGAGCAGGGGTTCTCAAAGTGGGGTTCCTGGACTGCAGCATCAGCTTTGCATTGCCTGGAAACGGGACAGAAATGCAAATCCACCAGCCTCACCCCAGTCCTGCTGAACCAGAAACTCTGGGGTAAAGCTTCACAATTCGTGTTGTAACAAACCCTCCAGGCAAGGCTGATGCCACTGGAGTCTGAGAGGCTTGCTTTGGAGATACAGTCAGCCCTACATACCCATGGATTTTGCATCCATAGATTCAATCAACCATAGCTCAAAAATATTGAAAAAAATTTAAGAAATACCAATGCAACTATAAAAAATAATACAGATAAAAATGACACAATATAGCAACAATTTACATGGCATTTACATTGCATTAGTACTACAATAATCTACAGGTGATTTAAAGTATATGGAAGGATATACATAGGTTATGTGCAAATACGATGGCATTTTATATCAAGGGCTTGAGCATCTGTGGATTTTGGTATCCGAGGGGGCTCCTGGAATCAATCCTCCCCATTTTCGTCCCTGCCCCCGCCAACCCAGGGAATGATGACTCTCTCCCCATTTAACCCTGAAGAAGCCATCATTGTATCTGGCAATTCAGTGCACTTCTCTGGATAGGAACTGTGACCCATCAATGAAAGGCTTAATTATACCCATGCTATTTTATTAATAAGATGGGAAAATATGAAATAAAGCTGAGGTAAATTTCATTTGAAATGGTGAAAGCAGGGGTCTGAGCATACCCTGTGATTTGCCTGGGGCCCACGAGCCTTGAGGATGGAAATTTGAGCTCGGTTCATAAGTGGGTTTTAGCAGCCAGGTGTGTAGTGGGATAGTGAGAAACACTGTTTAATTCATGACAACCACCGTCCTGTAGAGTCCCTAGAATGCTCAGGAGCCTGGGAAAGCAAAGGAGTATGTGATAAGAATCAAAGAAGTATGTCATCCTGGAGCCCTAGCAATGCAACTGGAGTGACATGTGAAACACAGCCCAGAAACAGCAGTTAGACAGTGAGAGCAATGGCAGCACAGTTGGTCAGGTCCTGACCTGAATGATATAGCCTGCTTTGGGGGCTCCCATCATTCTATATTCATTCAATAAATATGAATTAACTACTGATTATAGGTCCTGCATAGTGTGCTCAACCTGCGGACACAGTGGTAAATGTCATTCCAGCCCTCCTCGGGCCTACGGTTTAGCTGAGGAGGTGGCTTTTAAACAAATTATTACACACAATCACAGCTGGAAGAGTCTATGAAGGAGAAGTACACAGGTTGCTGTTAGAGAAACTGGAGGAAGGGCTGCATGGGGAAAGGGGAGACAATGATAAAGGTCCACACTTGTACCTATAGCTATCTACACCTGGGACAGACAGGTGACATCGAAATGAGACTCTTGAGTAAGTGGCTGGTTTTATTGACATGTGAAAAACATATGGTGTGCAACACAATCGCTATTTGTTGCTTGCCAGTAATTTATGTTTAAGGACAGTCTAAAGAAGTAAGAATAAAACAAGGCAGAAGTTCAGTAATGAATGCTCGTTCCCTATGTGGGAACTCTTCTACTGGGCACTTTTTGAGCTCAGCATTTGCATTTAGGAGCAAATGCGCTGCACTGAGTAAGAAGAGAGAATGAGGTCTAGACCTATGATTAGCTCAAACTGGGAAAATGGAAAATGCAAGCAGCTCTCAGAGCACAGCAGCTCTCAGGCAGGAGAGGGCTCCTCCCAACACAGGCACACCAGGAATGTCAAGTGGCCATTTGGTGATGGTCAGGCGGTTGTTAACTGTCTCTCTAAAATAATAATTGGTTGCAGCTGGTAGCAGGGAAAGGCGGTCTCCCAGTAGATAGAAAACACCTGAAACGTGATTGGCGGCTTCCCTGTAAGATCTCCGGAGTTGGGCAAGTGGGCTCAAGCATGTGCACTAAGGGACAAAATGGTGGAGTTTAACTAGCATATGACCTTCCTCTAGGAATGCTAGACTGGTAAGGTAAGAATGCCTCAAGGGAGCATGCGCACAACTCCAGTAAACACACTGCGCATGCTTCCCTCCCGAGGGCTAGCAGGCCACTGTGCATGTGGAGAGCCCACCCCAAGGAAGGAAGCGGGGGAAGTAACACAAGACCCCGGAAGTAGGCCAACATATGAAACCTCAAGTCAAAAGGTCACACCACTCACTTGATCTCTCAAGTCATCTGGTTGGCCCTCTTGCTTGTGGACTTTACTTCCTTTCATTTCTGCTCTAAAACTTTTTAATAAATGTTCACTCTTGGTCTAAAACTTGCCTTGGTCTCTCCTTCTGCCTTATGCCCCTTGGCTGAATTCTTTCTTCTGGGGAGGCAAGAATTGAGGTTGCTGCAGATCTGTATGGATTCGCCACTGGTAACATACTCTGGTGTCGTGTGACTCAGATACATTCCACCGCTAACAAGTACACTTCTCTGGATAAGAACTCTGACCCATCAACTAGAGGCCAAATTATACCCGTGCTATTGTATTAATAAGATGAGAAAAATGTGAAATAAAACTGAGGGAAATTCACATTAAAAATGATGAAAGCAGTGTGTTTTGGACCCTATTCTCCCCTTACTATTTTGAGCCTTCTAATCTCAGGTAGTAGTTCAGTTTATTTTTTTTTAACTTGACTGTGAGATGCTAGAACTAAACAAAAATGGAATGTCTTGATTCAGGTGTCGCTGTTTGCATTGTAGCTAGTGTTTTTTTCTTCAAGGGGAAAAATAATTAGTCCCCTCTCAATGGTCCCATTTATGCTTAGGTTGTACCAGCTCCAGAAATAAGAGAGCATATCAATGTGTTCTGTCATTATTTTTCCTGCCTCGTAATTTCTAGGTCACTTCAAATATCCATCTCACCATCACTACCTTCAATTAAAAAAAATTGTCAAGAGTTTAACAGGGCCTTTAAAATCCATTTAGCTTGAATAATGCATTATTGAAGGGCAATCCCTCAACCACTAAAGCGGCCTCCATAAGACAATTTCACCGAGTGGCCCCAGGGTAAATGCGTTTCATTTAAGCAGCATTGTGTTTGTCATAGGATTATCATAAATAGTAGAGTATTCCTTGAAATAAGGCTTATTTAGGATTCAAGAGATTCAGGATTCAATCTATTTTCCATTTCTGTGTAAAAAAAAATACATATTTGTCAGATAAACTGCTTCTCTTTGCAGATATGGTTTCCTTGGTTAGCAATTATTGGTGAGGTCTTGAATATATTTCAGACTTGAGCCCTGGAGGAATGAGGCAGCTTTCTGATGTTCAAAACTGCATTGTCCTAGAAATTCCCAGATCCTTGGGCCTGAAGAACAGTAGAAATTTACAGTGAAAAATTTCTATTTATCTTCTTGCCCTACTGCACTCTCCCAGGGTAGGCACCCAAACTGCTCCTCTACACAAATGCTTGTCCTCTTTTTCAAAGTGTGAGATTTGGCCCAGCTATTCGGACCTACTTAATTTTAAAAACTCAGTCTTTCTGTCAGCAAGGGCCTTGGAAGGAAAAGATCCAGATTCGAGTCCTGATTCTGCCACTGACTGTGTAACTGTACTGTAGAGCATTTAAATGATACTAAACTCAACAGAAAAATACAAAAGCCCTTATATATGTGTACTGTTATGCAATAGAAAGAGCAAGAACATTTTTTCTTGTTACATTTGAGGCTTGCATTCAAGGCCATTCATGCACCGCCTAAAGATGAAGAAGCAGTCATTTTCTGTTCTGCCTGAACTCTGGATGTCAATTGATTGTGGTTAATTTTAGGTGTCGACTGAACTGAGGGATGCCTGGATGGCTGGTGAAGCATTGTTTCTGGGTGTGTCTGTGAGGGTGTTTCCAGAGGAGATTGATGCATGAGTCAGTGACCGAGAGAGGAAGACCTGCCCTCAGTGTGGACGGGCACCATGCAATCTGCTGGCAACACAGCTAGAACAAAGCAACCAGGAGAAAGGGAAATTCAGCTTGCTTGGCTTTCTTTTTAATGCTCTCTCTCTTTTCCAGAGCAGTAGGTATATTTTCTCCTGCCCTCCTTGGGCAGCTGAACTCCAGGTTCTTTGGCCTTTGGACTGTGGGACTTGCACCAGTAGCCTCCTGGGGGACCTTGCATCTTTAGCCTTGGACTGGAGGCTACACTGTCAGCTTCTCTGGTGTTGAGGCTTTTGGACTGGACTGCAGCATGCTGCTGGCCTCTCTTCCTCTTCTGCTTGCAGACGGCCTACCTGGTGGTGGGACTTTCTTTTTGTGATCATGTGAGCCAATTCTCCCTAATAAATTCCCTTTCGTATATATGTATCCTATTGTCTCTGTCCCTCTGAAGAATCCTGACTAATACACTATCTTAACCTGATCTCCCAGGGATAAGGATGTTGGGATAGGACAGAAGAGGTTAGGTCCTTGGGTTGATTTGCACAGGGCCTTGCACCCAAAAAGGACAGGCTCATGCGCTTATTGGGATCTAGCTTATTCCCCTTTTGAAAACTACAGGCAGAATTCTGGAACCAGGATGGGCTCCAGCATGAGCTGTGGTGACAGGGGACTGCAGAAGCAGGGAATCTAAGCTTCTAAGCAATGGTCACATCCCGCCAGAGCATGTCCTCATCTAGCTGGAGTTGACACTACAGTGATGGACGTTTGCACTTTCCTGTCCTGGGATTTTAACAAACTAGAATGTGTCAACAGGTCTGAACAGATATTGAAGCCAGGTTGTGTAGGATACTTTGGAGAAAATTTGGCCTGGGGAAGAGACAACTTCCCCAGTAAACTGTAGAGAACCTCATGAATAGAACCTGATACACAGTTGTTGAATTGATTGAGAAGAATGGAGAGACAGAAACTCCCTCTGACCCCAGGCAGTCACTGTGCTGATCACAGGAGCCCAGGTAAGCCTAGGTCAGACGATGGTGGGGTATTTGCAGGCACAAGCAGGCATACCCACCTCAGCCTGTCATCACTGTAGCCTTTTGAAGCTTCGGGGCACCCAAAGCCCTTCTTGGGAGGGTTATAACTGTTACCAGCAAGCTGCCAGGAAGAACAACCAACTGTCGCCCACACTCTTCAGAAGAGGTGGGATTTTCTGAGCTCTGTGCTTCAGTGATGGTGAAGCCCTTCGAGTGACTATTTCCTCTGTATTGTTTTTCCAGGCCACTGCATTTTCTTATACAGAGCTACTCCACGCATTGCCCTTTGTCCTAGAACATCTTGCCTTAATTGCATTAATCATCTGATCTCTTCACTTTTAACATGACTTCTTGGGCTCCCATGATAACACTGATACCATGTCTGATAAGGTTCAAATTCCACCACAGCCTGTGGCTGGAGGGCCTCGTGAGGGAAACTGCTCACAAGAATAAGGTAGGAGAGTAGGTCCAAGAATAATCCTCCCCCAAACAGGGAAGGCTGCGTGACTCAATGACACCTCCCATCTCTCCTCGTCATAATGTCCCCCTAGTCCATGTCAGGCCTCATGGGTCATTATGGTGTTGGGACAGGGTTAGAACTGGTAAGCACTATTAAAAGGGAGTGTTTTGGGGTTTTTTCCTCCTGTGACCCTGGTTCAGAAAGCATGTTTTGGAGCAAGTTGGGAGGCACTCTTGTTTAAACAGGTGTCACGGTATCAGTGAAGTCTACCAAGATGTTGTCAACCTATGTCTTTTTTAAAAGTCACTCTGGGATCTTAATAAGTGTTTTTAACAAGAAAATAAAATTTTTAAAAATTGAGGTCCTGGAACTGGAAATGTAGGCAAAGGGACACAATGCGGGTGCCCGGAGTGTTTTGCTTTGGGAGGTAGTGGAGAGAAGGTGCCAGGGAGAGGCGTGCATTGACCAAGGTGAGAATACCAATCCCACAACCTTGGCTCAAGTGCCCCCCGCCCACCAGCCTCCAGATCCAGTCACCTAGCCGAGAGGGGCAAGGGCTGCATCTGACCCAGGGATCCTCCATTCTCAGAAAGAAAGGTGAGCAATGCTTGGCCTGGATGTGGCATTGAGCTGTTCAGACTTTGCCCTTCACAGAGTAGCCCCTGCCCACATTCGCCCATATGGGCTTACTCGCTGGTTTCCAGAAGGACTTTAGTCCACTTGTAACCTCATCTCAACTGAAATAAATCAGCCCCCACCCAGGGACTGGTTTGCTGTACCAACTCCACTGGTGATGAAGAGGAGGGGAATCACAGTGACCTTTGCAGGGTGCATACTGTGCTTCCAAGAGTTATGAATAGCTCAGCTCCCAGAGGAGAGACTTCTCAAGTTCATTCTTTACAGTTAAGCTCTTGTTTAAGATGGGAAAGTTATTCTGAGTAATAACTATTTCCTTCTCCTTGAGCTGCACAGTGAAAAAGTGTTACTTCCTACTTAGGACTTCATGTTCAGTGAACATAGCTCTCGTTCTGGAGAGAAAAATAAATTGCTTTCCAAAGGGCAATGGGATTTCTACTGCCTGTATCGATCATGCAGCTTTTCATTCCTGGTTGGTTTTCCTTGACCTCTGTGAGGATTGCATGTTCCGAAGACATAGCAGGGCCTGAACTTCAAAAACACTAGTGACATTCCAGGCTGGCTGTGAAATTTTGCAGTAAATCTGAAAAAATATTCTCAG